>NC_000013.11:70074772-70226287 GCF_000001405.40 Homo sapiens
AGCCAGTACAATAAAGCAATAAATTAAAATAAAAAACATAAGAACTCAAAAAATAAACAAATTTATCACTATTCACAGCATGATTGTGTAGATAAAAAATTTTAAATTCTGTAGACAAATTCCTATAATAATTTTAGTAAAAAATCAATATATGCTCCAGCTACAAATACTTAGAAAATGAAAATTTAAAATACCATTTATAATAATGGAGGTGCCAGGGGAAAGCTTACCCTCTACCCTCCAAAGATTCACTGAAAATGAACTGACAAAAGTCAGATTAATAGGAAGAAAAGGCATACAAAATTTATGTTAACATGTTTATGTACATGGGGGCCATACACAAATTATGAGACTTGAAGAGGGGCTAGATGATTGAGACTTAAATACTCTCTTCATAGGGAAGAGATGTATGGATTTGGGAGGCACACTTTATTTTGTAAATGATTCTCTTTGGAAGCTGGATGGGACAAGTAAAGGGGAAGGCAAGGGGTAGAACTGCACAAGAGCAAAGGTAATCTCTTAGAGCTGCTCTCAGAATAAATTAAAAATTTGTCTGGAAAAAATAAAATAAAAAAATAAAAGCTATAAAAATTGAAAAGGAAGCAATAAATCTATCTTTGCTCACAGATAACATAATTTTCTGTATAGAAAATTCCCACAAAATTTTATTAAAAAAAACCTTTTTGTTAAAACTTATTTGCTCAAAAACAACTGAAGCAAATAACAATTAATATATATATAATTATTGCATACTTATATATTGCATACATATATATATACCTGTGTGTGTGTATGTGTATATATATATATATATATACACACACACACATATATATAGGACTTACATATATATATGTATATATATATAGGACTTTTATATATATACCTATGTGTGTGTGTATATATATATACACACACGTGTGTATATATGAAAATTAAACCTGAATTACACACACATAGGTGTATATATATACACACATACACACACATATATATATATACATATATATGTATATATATATGTTGCAGGATATGATTTTGGCTAATGAAAGTCAATTGCTTTCCTATACACCAGCAGTGAACAATTGTAATTATAAATTTGAAACACAATGTAATTTTCATTAACACAAAATGAAATATTTAGGTCAAAATCTAAAAAAATGCATACAAGATCTATATGAGAAAAGCTACAAAACTCTGAGGACAAATATCAAAGCTCTAAATAAAGAGAGATATTCTATATTCATATATGGAAGCCTCAAATAATGTTAAGATGCGAGTTCTCCCAAACTTGATCTGTAAATTAAATGAGATCCTGATCATAAATCAAGCATATTGTTTTGTGGAAATTGACAAATTTATTCTAAAGTTTATATGGAACTGCAAAATACACAGAAGATTCAATGCAACGGTTAAGAAAAAGGTAAAGTCGGAGGATTGACACTACACAACTTCCAGACTTACTAAAATCTATGGTAATCAAGAGAGTGTAGTACTGGTGAAATAACAAACATATGGATCAATGGAAAGAAACAGTCAGAAACAGACCCACACAAACATAGTCAACTGATCTTTCACAATGCCACAATGGCATGCCAGTGAGGAAAGGATAATCTTTTTTTTTTTTTTAATGGTTTTGGATCAACTGGATTGCCATATGCAGAAAAAAAAAATCAAGACACTGACTTTACAGTTTTCACAAAAGGGGCATAGACAGACACATACAATGAAAAATTATAAAACATTAGCAAACAATATAGGAGAAAATCTACATGACCTCGGGTTTGACAATGTGACAATGAGTTTTTAGACACAACACCAAAAGCCCAATCCATGAAAGAAAACAAAAAAAAACAAAACAAAATTTTGTAAGTTGGACTTAATTAAAATTAAAACTTTCTCTCTGTAAAAGAATCAGCAGAATGTAAAGCCACAGACCAGGAGAAAATTTTTATAAAATATATTTCTGATAAAGGAACTGTATCTAAAATACACAAAGAACTCCAAAACACAACAATGAGAAAAAGAAACAACTCAGTTAAAAAGTTAACAAAAGATTTGAACCAACACTTCAGCAAGTAGGGTATACACATAGGAAAATAGATTCAATATTATGTTATTAGGGAACTGTAAATTAATACTACAATGATATACCACTATATATTTATTACAATTGCCAAGATGCTAAATACTTAGAAAACCAAATTCTAGTAATGGTGTGGAGAAACTGGAACTGTCATTCATCGCTGGTGGAAATGCAAAATGGTAAAGCCACCTTGGAAGAACATTTGGAAGTTCCTTAAAAAGCTTGACATAATTCTACCAAATGAAACTGCAATTGAGCTTTTAGATATTTACTCAAACGAGTTGAAAACATGGATTCATGCACATTTTTGCACAAGTTTATTCATAATTTCTTAAAACTAGAAGCAGTCAAGATGTTCTTCAAAGGTGAAATGGGTACAAAAGCAGTGGTACACCCATACAAAAAGTGTAATTCAACAATAAAAAGATATGAGCTCTTAAGTCTCAAAAATACATGGAGGAAACTTAAATGTATACTGCTAAATGAAATAAGCTGGTCCACAAAGGCTACATATTCTATGACTGTCGCTGTAAGCCATTCTGGAAAAGGCCAAACTACAGAGATTAAAAAAAAATTAGTCGTTGAAGAGTTTGGTGGGAATAATGAATATGTGGGGCACAGGATTTGGGGGCAGTGAAATTATTATGTATGATCCTAAAATAATACATGAAATTATGCATTTGTGAAAATACATAAAACTGTATTTCTCAAAGTGCAAACCCATAGATTTTGGATAATAACAATGTATCAATATGGTTTCATCAATTGTAATAAGTGTACTATATCAAAATGATGTGTTAATAATAGGGGAAATTGGAGGATAATGGGAAGGAGTATATGGGAACCCTCTGTAGTTTCTTCTTAAATTTTCTGTAAAAATCTAACTGCTTTTAAAAATGTATTAATTTCAAAATTGATAATGAGCTGAACATTTTAGAAACATATTATATACACAAAAAGTTAAGAAAAATAATATCTTATCCAATAAAATCGAAGTCATGAAAAACCTCTGGATATGTTCTGTGCCCTTTCTGTGATATTTACCTTGTTAGGTTTTGTGTTCTTTTGAAAGTCTTTCTTCTTATTAAATAAAAGGTCAAGTAAAATTCAGTCCATATTTATCATTCTTCTAAAAATCCTGTACTGGAAAATATTCTATTAACCTGTTCTCTACAGGTGCCTCTCTAAATGATCTTTTTTCTTTTTATTTTTTATTTTTTCTGCATTAGTTTTACCTGGCCTTAGCTGAGAAAGGAAGGATTTACAGAGCTGACAAAGCTTAGCTCCTCATGTCTGTCTAGCATGCTCTAATGAAGGGAATTAACTCAATCAAAAAAAAAAAGTATAATAGAGATTCTTAGACCACTTAAGTACCAACCAACCACCTTCTTATTACAACATTCACAGTCAGAAAAGGAGATTTAATTTCATATGCTTATATTAAAAAGGTCATATTAAATAGAATTTTCATCCACAAAAATAAGGTATTTTGAATTACAAAATTAATGATGTTCAAAGACTTATTTAAATACCCCATTAGTTTTTTAATGAGAAATTTAATCATAGAAAACCTTCATTTGTATAACTTCCAAATTTTCTCTTTAAATATTAATAAAACACTCAACAAAAAAATATGAACTTGGAGTTATTTGAAGGCCACAGAGCTTAGTGAAGGGTATTGGCTTGGCAGTCACACAAACAGTTTTCTAGAATTTGAAAAGCCACTAATAAGATCTGAGATCTTGTAAAGGTCAATTAACATTTGAGAGTCTTAGCCTCTTTGCCTTCAAATCTATAAAAGAAGAATGTAGGTCCAGCTGATCTTTGCGACCACTGCCAGCTCCACAGTTATTTCAATACCATCACACTATTCAGTCCAGTGGCAAAAATGTGGTTTTTAAAAATTATAAATATATTTCAAATGGAATTATTTCACCAAAATGAAAATAAATGCATAAGTATACAAAGTGACTTAATATACTCCATTAAATATATAACAAAAGCATGAAAAGTGAATATGTTGAAATGAACCCACTTAAACAACTAGTCCTCTAAAATGATCTATCTCAAGGCATGCACACTGGTTTTCTCATTAGCATCAAACTCTCACCTCTTCCATTTGATTAGCTGGGCAGTTTTATTGCTAGCAGAGAAATGGAATAGTTTTAAGACATTCAAGCAAGTAATTAAACATGGAGTGCTTCAGAGTATTTGACAGAAATGCAAACTAGACAATCATCAACCAAGTCATACTTAACTGCAGTTAATACAGAGTCTCTAAGGCTTCCTGGCATGTAGACCTGGGCCAAGGTAGGTTCAATATCTTCAGTAATTTTTTTTTCCAGATCCATGGTAGTTATACCTGGTTGACCCTGAGACTCACCTAAGAATCTTTTTAATAATCCCTATTCCTCAAACTCAACCCAGATTCACTGAATCAAAATCTCCCAGCATGGCATTTACCAATTGTTACAGTTCAAAGTTCCCCAGGTAATTCTCCTGTATGCCGACGTTTGTAACCCATGGCATGTATGCTATGGTAAGTACCTACTTAAGTACCAAGATATACAACTCACTAAATCTATTCATGATGCCTATTTCATTTTCCATTTTATAATGTCTCAAAAATTACTTATTTTGATAATATCCCATCTAAAAATAAATAGCGGTAATGCCTTTTCTTTTAGTTTCATCAGTTTACAGGAACAGACTAATGTTTTTGAGACCACTTATATACCTGTGTTTTCAACATTTTCAATGAAGGAATAGCAATAATCATGATTATTATAATGATTATAATATTCTGGATGCTGTTATCAGTGCTTTAAGCATATTAATTCATTTAGTCTTTAAAACAACCCAGTGAACTAGGTAATATTACTCTTTCTCTTTCATGAATGAGGAAACGAAGCATTAGTGATGTTAATATGTTCATGGATATATATCTCTAGGTGTTAGAGCTTGGATTTGAACTCAGCATACTGAGCTTTAAGTCCATACCTTGTGTGATTATTTTAACTTATTTTACTCCTTGGAAGTGAAGAGTTTTTTAGAACTGAATCATTTTTTAGGATGTTTTCTTGCTGATCGCCAGTGCAGGTTCACACCAGGATGTGATGGTGAATCCCATAGTTCTTGATCCAATCTCTGGCTCAGTAGGTAAAAGAAGGGATTTGTGGATAGGTACCAAGATGTGTTTTCTTGCAGCAGTTACTTGGAGCCATACAGCATACTGTTCATTAGACAACATGCAGCCTAGTGTAAGAATCTGGCAGAGTCTGAAAGGATACGTGTTGGCATGAATCTCAGTCTGTCTTTGTGTGTGTCTGCTAGTCTGAGTGCTATCTGATTGGACCAGGGAACGAATTTGAGGAGCATGCCAACGTGGCTTGGCTCTTTTTAAAGACACCTGTCAACACTTGGCAAGGGCTCAGAGAGTGCAGCCATTAAGTGACCACAGGATCATTTATACTTCCCCAAATGAAATCATAAATGCAGAAAAATGTATGATAATTAGAGGAACGATCTTTAAAATTAAGTTATTTTTTAAAACAAGTCATCTTTCTATATCTACCAGATAAACCTAGAGGCTCTATTTCCTCTTTGCTGGATGTTCTGTTTTCACAAGGTTCATATTAATTTTATAAATATGCTGACAAAATAATATATTGGCCAGTTACAATCATGTTAGATTTGGTTGTTTATTGTTCTATCATTTTACTCTATTTATTTTACTTTGTTTTATTTTATCATTTTTGAGAGGGAGGCTTGTTCTGTCACCAGGCTGGGGTGCAGTGTCGTGATCTTGGCTCACGGCAACCTCCACCTCCCGGGTTCATGCAATTCTCCTTCCTCAGCCTCCCGAGTAGCTGGGACTACACATGCGCACCACCACACCAGCCTAATTTTTGACATTTTTAGTAGAGACAGGGTTTTGCCATGTTGGTCAGGCTGTTCATTTGAACCTCCTGACCTCAAGCAATCCTCCTGCCTCAGCCTCCCAAAGTGCTGGGACGTGAGCCACCACGCCTGGCTCTTCTACCATTTTAAAAGATGATTTTCTGGTCATATTATCCTTTGGAATATAGCAGCTTAAATTCCTTTAAATCCAGCTTGATTCAGAGACTTCTCTTCCCAAAAAACATTGCAAAGTGCATATCATAAAAATAACTCTTTGCATAAAATCCTTAGAAATTTTGGGGAAAAATTATGCCATGTCCTTTAAAACACACATTTGATTTAACAAGGAAGTAGGAGGATTTTAAGATGACCAATTTGTCCCAGTTTGTTCAAGACTGTCCAAATGTTAAAACTGAAAGCCCCATGTCTTGGGAACTGCTTCAACTCTAGGTAACTGGTACCACTGGCTCATTAACTTTCTACTGTTGTATAGTGCCTTACTACAAATTTAACAACTTAAAACCGTACACATATTTATTATATCTCGGGTTTTTTTAAGCCAGAAGTCTGGGCATGTCTTAGCTGTGAGTCCTCTACTTAGGGAATTACACTGCTGCAATCAAGATTTTGGGTCCACTGCTTTTTCATCTATAGGCTCAATTGGAGAATATACTTAGTAACTTATTCCAGTGCATCACAAAATTCATTTCCTTGCTGCTGCAGGACTGAGGTCCTCATTTTGCTGTTGGTTGTCAGCCAGAGGCTGCTCTCGATTCCTGGAGGTCATCAACAGATCCATGCCATGGAGATCTCTCCGTTGTTCTTCTTAAAACTTGGCAGCTCATTTCTTCCAATCTACAAATGGAGAGAGACACTCTCTCTATTAAGATAAATTCTTTCAATGATCAATAGAGTTTAAACAGGAATTTCCATTGTCAAGCTTCTTGTAGAATGGCAGTGTCCAACAAATACCTGGATCGTGGCCTAGTGAAACTTCGAAGCAGAAGACCTAGGTAAGCTACACCTAGACTTCCAACCAATAGAATTGTTTGATTTTAAAATGTGTGTTGTTTTGAACTTACGGGTTTGTGGTAATTTGTTAAGCAGGAATGGAAAACTAATAGAGTTGGTCACTGATATTTGGATTTATGTCCTCACTAAATCTCATGTAGAATTGTAATCCCCAATGTGGGAGGAGGAGGCTGGTGGATTGGATCATGGGGACGCACTTCTCACTTGCTGATTTTGTGATACTGACTGAGTTCTCAGGAGGTCAGGTTGTTTAAAGTTTGTAGCACTTCCCCCTTTGCTCTCTCTTCCTCCTGCTCCAGTCATGGAGGATGTGCTGGCTTCCCCTTTGCCTTCCTCCATAATTGTAAGTCTCCTGAGAGCTCCCTGGCCATGGCTCCTGTACAGCCTGCAGAAATGTGAGCCAATTGAACATCTTTTCTTTATAAATTACCCAGTTTCAAGTATTTCTTTATAGCAGTGCAAGAATGGAATAATATAGTCACTCTAGAGTTTAACCAGGAGCCCTTCCTCCTTGGACCTGTCACACACACACACACACACACACACACACACACACACACACACACACACACACACACAAAGGAACCATAGTAGGTAGTTGCTCTAGGTGGATATAGACTTGGGATTTAAGGTCCAGGCTGGGGAAAGGGATCAAAATTAGGCTTTTCCAAAGGGGGATGTAGAACTAAGACACACTCCAAATTTTTTTCATAATTTTCATATTTCAGCTGAAGTCAAAAACAGTAGAAAAATGCATACAACTTACTGAGAGAAAACAATTCCCCAGAACATTTTATAGCCAGTTAAACTATTTTTTAAAAATAATTTCAATTTTTATTTAAATACAGGTACATGTGCAGGTTTGTTACCTGGGCATATTACGTGATGCTGAAGTTTGGGGTAGCAAAGACACAGAATCAACCCAGGTACCCATGCCTATCAACAGTGAATTGAATAAAGAAATTGTGGTACATATACCCCATGGAACACTATGCAGCTATAAAAAAAGAAGAGTGGAATCACATTCTTTGCCACAGCATGGGTGCAGCTGGAGCCAATAACCTAAGCAAATTAGCATAGAAACAGAAAACAAAATACTCTATGTTCTTACTTATAAGTGGGAGCTAAACATGGAGCACATGTGGACATAAATGTGGGAACAATAGACACTAGAAACTAACGGGTAGGGAAGGAGGGGCCCAGGGTTGAAAAACTATTTTAAAATATAAAAGATATTAAACAGTGTTAAGAAAAATAAAAAATGAATTTGGTCTCTAACAATAGACTCCTCACTAAAGGAACTTCCCAAAGGTGAACATAAGAAGTACAACAAAAAAAAATCCTAGAGTTAAGTTCTTATATGAAAGAAGTAATAGTGAGCATTTAAACTGCTAAGCACAAAAATGAATCTCAATAAATATTAATCAAAATTACAAATTGTCGTCACTACTAATTTGGAAGGCATAATAATGATGTAGGAGTAAAATAATCAACAGTAATATCATGTAAGATGGGAAAGGCCACCAGAGTCAAATGCATGTTCTTATTTCTTTCCTTCTTTTTTAGAGACAGAGTCTTGCTATGTTGCCCAAGATGAACTAACTCCTGGTCTCAAGCAATCCTCCCACCTTAGCTGAATAGCCAGGACTGCAAACATAGCTCAATGCACCTGGCCTTGTTTATTTCTGAAGGAGAATGAGATACTTATTAATTTTAGACTAGTGATATACTTATTAATTTTAGACTTTGTAGATTAACTCTGTGCAAATCGTAATATTGTGAAGATAACTACAAAAAGATATCAAACAGGGTATATGCTGTCTAAATTATATGAGAAAAAAGTAAAAACTTTAATCAAAGAAAATAATTGCCTAAATTAAGCATAGAAAATTTGATAATTATGTTTTTAAAAGATGATGTAATTATATACGAATTAATATTTACAATAAATATGTTTATTGCACTAACTACTCCACTTACAAAATTTGTAAGTCTGAATTACAAAGAAATCATTTTATTCTACATTGTATACATATATTTAAACACCACATTATACCCCATACATGTATACAATTTTGATTTTTCAATTAATATAATATTAATCAAACATAGTAAAATAAAATACAGGAAGTGTGGCTTGACTACCTACCACAAAATAATAATAAAATTTAAAAAACCCTTTTATATACACTCTAGAAGAAAGTCACTCAAAACGCAAAAATGATAGAGGAAGTGGATAACAACATGTGCTTTATGAAAAGTAGTTAATAAAAGCAAAAACTACAGTTAATATTAAAGTAGATTTTAATGCAAAAATTTAAAGTCTAGTGCAACATTGTATGGCACTTCATAATTATGCATTTCCAATCATGAGGAAGGTACTTTAAATTATACACACACATGTACACACACAGTAAATTAATCTGTTGAGAATTTAAGGAAAAATGTATCACCAATTTCAGAACTGTGCCTAGTATATACTAAGTACTTTATAACTATACCCAGCATAGGGGATGTACATGAACAGATCATTAAACCTTTCCATCTTAATCTGATCCTTTTCGAGTTGAATACTTATGTCTCCAAGCACAAAGTAAAAGTGAAAGCATGAAATATATTTCTGCTTCATTATTGACATTCCAAGTGATATTTTCTAGTCTATTTCTTCTTCTTCTTTTTTTTTTTTTGAGACGGAGTCTCGCTCTGTCCCCAGGCTGGAGTGCAGTGGCGTGATCTCTGCTCACTGCAAGCTCCACCTTCCGGGTTCACGCCATTTTCCTGCCTCAGCCTCCCGAGTAGCTGGGACTACAGGCACCTGCCACCACGCCAGGCTTTTTTTTTTTTTTTTTTTTTTTTTTGAATTTTTAGTAGAGACGGGGTTTCACTGTGTTAGCCAGGATGGTCTAGATATCCTGACCTCGTGATCCACCCGCCTCGGCCTCCCAAAGTGCTGGAATTACAGGCGTGAGCCACTGCGCCGGGCCGTCTATTTCATATTTTCTACAGCCACTTCAAACCATGATTAAAATTCTAAAGAATATCAAAAATATTTTTGTTCACAGATTCTGTTTTCTTATAATGAATGTAATATTCTTAAAAGAAAACAAGATCTAAAACGCGGAATTTTGAAGCAAATTCTTCAGGTACTTTTTGGAAATAAAATGTAGGAGAGTTCAATTCAGTTAATGGATGAATTGAGTTTGTGGAAATCAAAATCATACCATCCATTGATGACATGAATATGGTAAATGAAGATGCTAAAATCATATATCCGTATGTGACCATAAATATGGTGTATAAAGACAAGTATCTGAGTGTGTATGGATATATGTATGTGCATGTATGTATGAATGTGGGAATGTATGCATATCTCTTGAAAAAGAGACAGCAATACAGACAGAAAAGCTAAACAAAGAGAGAAACAGAAAGAGACAGAGAGAGAGAGAACGGGAAGTGAGGAAAAGAGTTATTACACAATTAGGTTATAGACCTTGAAGTGATAGCAGTTGAACATCATTTTTATTGCATTTTAAAAAGATGTTTCTTCATCACAAGAACCAAAGTACTGTATCAAGCTTCCAGATGGTCTTTAACAGAGCCAAACTTAAGCATACTTTTGAGATTTAATCTACCTTGAAAAAGAAACATGTAAGTCAAAGAAAAATGAACAAAGATTGCCACAGAATAAGACAGTGCTTATTTTAAATGTTTAATTTTTTTATATTTACATTGCTATTTTTAATATTTGGACACCCTAAAATTATTAATCAATATTTTACAAACACTGAATGGGCTGGGCGCAGTGGCTCGTGCTTGTAATCTCAGCACTTTGGGAGGCCGAGGCTGGAAGATCACCTGAGGTCAGGAGTTCGAGATCAGCCTGGCCAAATAGGTGAAACCCTGTCTCTATTAAAACTACAAAAATTAGCTGGGTGTGGTGGAAGGCACCTGTAATCCCAGCTACTCTGGAGGCTGAGGCAAGAGAATCGCTTGAACCTGGGAGGCAGAGGTTGCAGTGAGCCGAGATCGCACCACTGCACTCCAGCGTGGAAACAGAGCAAGACTCTGTCTCAAAAACCACAAACAAAACAAACAAACAAAGAACACTGAATAAAGAGGATTATGTGAGTCTGTCTATCCATGTATATGGTGACAGACATTTCATATTGCTAAGTAAAATTTGCTTTACTTCTCGTTACGTATGTTTTAAATTATATAACTTACATAATTATTTCTACTAATAGGAATACAAGTAAGTACAGGTAGGATGCCATATTACTATTCCCATCTTATCTAATGGAAATGTACCTACAGTGGAATCTCCACATACTGAGAGGCAGAAGTCTCTGTTGAGAAAAGACCTAGAGGGTAGAAAGAACAACATGGAGTGTCAGGAAGCCAGGAAAAGAGTAGGTTAAAATTATGTTGTGAGAGAGATGTTCTGAAGTTCGTATCTCAGCCCCAGAAATGAAGGGTTAAATAAAAAGTTTCAAAAAAAAAAAGTAGACCTGGCTGGGCATGGAGGCTCATGCCTGTAATCCCAGCACTTTGGGAGGCCTAGGTGCTTGGATCACCTGAAGTCAAGAGTTCAAGACCAGCCTGCCCAACATGTCAAAACTCCATCTCTATCAAAAATACAAAAATTAGCCTGGCGGTGGTGGGCACCTGTAATCCCAGCTACTTGGAAGGTTGAGGCAGGAGAATCTCTTTAGGCGGAGGTTGTATTGAACCAAGATCCTGCCATTGCACTCTAGCCTGGGTGACAGAGGGAAGCTCTGTCTCAAAAAAAAAAAAAAAAAAAAAGAAAGAAAGAAAGAAAGAAAGAAAGAAAGAAAGAAAGAAAAAAGAAAAAGAAAACAAGACTTATTTATTTTGTTTTCTAGATATTAATCACAGCTCATGATTGCCCTTTTCAAACTTTTTTTTTTTTTCAAATCTTACCTCTTATATGTAGTGCCTGCAGGCAGGCAAACTACAGTGTGATGAGTAGTATGCTAATATAGTTTGATATCTTTCTTAGATTTTGCTGAAATAAATATCATTTTGACTTCATCTTTCCTGAATCCCTTTAACACCAGTGTCAGCAGGTGTCGAATAGGATACAGCTATAGGAAGAGCAAGAGATGAGAGTGGAGCCCAAAAACAGTTTGGTAAAGCAATATGGGTCAGGGGGGAATGGCATGATTGATTTTGAGTCTGGAAAGATAATCATGATTTGTGTGAATCATGGACTGATATGTGGCAAGACTAGAACCAGAGAAAATTACCAGTGTTTGCGTACAGTCCAGTGAGAGTGGCTTGCACTGAAGTATTGTCACCGAGGAAGGAGAAACCTACAGAAACTACTGTAAGTGAAAGAAACAACTGGTAACTGACCAGCTCTTAGTGGAATAGGAAAAGTCAGGTTTCAGGATGATGCCTAGGTTTCTAGTTTTGTCAACTGTGTGAATGTTTAGGCGATTTATATTAAAATTGGAAATGAAAAAATATAGTAAATTTGAGGGTAAAATAACAAATTCACTGTCCAAACAGCCGCATCCAGACCACATAATGGGTAAAAATACATAATCACTGGGGCAGGCTGAGGCATGCAAAGAATCTAACAGTCAACCAAGAGTAGTAAAAACGGCATAGTCATGTGTTACAACTATAATACGAACAATGCCTGAAGGATTAACAGGAGTTTCACAAGGAGATTCTCCAACTTTCCCTGAAGACACTGTGCACAGATGAAAAGATTTTTAAAAGGACTTAAAAAAAAAAAAAAAGAAACTTAGTTGTGATGAGAACATTGCAAATCCAATGACCAAACCCAATGCTTTCTCTTGGCCCAGCAAACACAAAGTCCACTGTTTCTTTTCAGATATCCTTTGAGCTGGGGCTGCTGGGATTTAAAATGAGGGAGAAAAACAACCAGAGCTTTTGGAAACAAGGCCTTCTGATGGAGTAATAAAATAGATGCTCCTTCCCTGAACTTCTTAGTGAGAAGATGTGGGAACTACAGGACAAAAGAAGAATCAAGATAGTTGTTATCTATCTCTGAACCTCCACCTTCTAGGAGGAAGTAGGATTACAAATAGATGCTCTTTGGACAGAGAGGGGAACAACACACACTGGGGCCTGTTGGGGTTGGGGGCATAGGGAAGGGAGAGCATCATGATAAATAGCTAATGCATGTGGGGGCTTCATATCTAGGTGATGGGTTGATAGGTGCAGCAAATCACCATGGCACATGTTTATCTATGTAATAAACCTGCATGTCCTGCACATGTATGCTAGAACTTAAAATAAAACAAAAGTAGGTTTTTTAAAAGAAGCTCAAACACTTCTAAGTAAATAATGAGCGCCACGAACTTTCAGTTCTGCTGATTTTTTTCCAGCTTTATGGAAGTAGGATTGATAAATACAAAATTGTATTATAAAACAACAACAACAACAACAAATAGATGCTCTGTAAATGTAGCCTGGAGAAGTTTCTTTACCTCCATGAGTCTCAATCAACAGATGTGTAAAGTGGAGGTGATGATAATGATCCTTCCTCATAGGAGAGCTTTGATAATGGATGATAATTCATTTTATCCAAAATATATACAAATATAAAAAAAAAGGCCAGGTGTGGTGGCTTACACCTGTAATTTCAACACTTGGGGAGATGAAGGATGGAGGGTCACTTGAGGTCAGGAGTTCAAGACCAACCTGCACAATGCAACAAGACTTCAACTCTATAAAATAAACTTGTGAAACTAGCTGGGCATGTTGGTGTATGCCTATATCTCCAGCTATTTAGGATGCTGAGGCAAGAGGATCACTTGAGCCCAGGAGTTGGACGTTATAGTCAGCTACAATCACGCCACTGCACTCCAGCCTGGGGTAACAGAGCAAGACCCTGTCTCATAAACAAACAAATAAATAAAATAAAATAAAAAACAATTTGAAATGAGCTTTTGCATTTTGCATTAAACTATATTAAAATTTTAAACATATTAGACATTTTTCTCATTTATACTTTTATATTCATGTACATATGAAAAAGAACATTTTTCCCTTAAAACTCATCAGAAAAAGAAAAAAAAACTTATCAGGGCTATTTACGTATTTTTTATTTGGGAAAACAACCTTGGCTCATAAATCTATTTACATATGTAGTTTGGCTCTTATATTTGAAATCACGTATTTATTTTATTGTTTCTTATCAGTACCTTCTAGAAAATCAGAAAACCCAGCAGGGCAGTAATCATGTGAGTTTACTAGCCAGTGACTAACTATGGCATTCTAGCCTAGAGACACTTGCCTAGGAGGCCACAATCCATATTGTTAATCAACATAAGAATGGGTGGGGGGTGGAATCTGTTGCTATTACTTCCCAGTTTTCCTGAACTTTACAGCTACAATTGCTTCTCTACATCTTATCTATTCTCATCTTTTCATGCTGACTAATGCCAGATGCTTCTTTACAATACTTGGGCAACATTAGTTTCACTGTTGTTGCCGTCAGTTGTTTTGTTTTTGTTGTTGTTGTTTTGCCTTTTGTTATTGTTTTTAATGTGTCACTAGAAGATCCTCAGAACAGGTAGCATATTAAAAATAGAAAGCCTATTTTAGAGAATGTTAATAGCAGGAATATAATATTCAAAGCATGTTGGCTAATTTCTTGGCCAACATATCCAATTTAATTTTAATCTTATTGGCAATGACATCAAATACACACCTCCAGATTGTTAAAATAGCTTGCGTGATACAACACTGAGGTACATCTTTAATATCTATTTTCTTTATTCTTTACACAATTATATATTATGTATATATAAATTTTATAGATGGATAGATATTTAAGTGTATAATTCTATCAATTTAAACATTGTGCTGAAGTGTTAACATAAATCTAGGTCCTGCAGATTTAACTCATGATTTTCCAAAACATGTATTTTTGGCTTTAAAAACAATATTAGGTATATTTCACAAGAGACCATGTACTTGCCTCAATTTTTAAGTTATAGAAGTGAACTGTAGAAAAGAAGTGTGAAACAAGTCATATTTCTACTTCCTACTTATAGCTAAGACAGCACTCTAGGGTTGGTGGAATGGTGAGAGAGAAATTGCTAATGCCTCCATGTTGAAAATGCAATGTATTACATTAAAGTAACCAAAGCTAGTTATGATATGTTGGTATGCCTGACCCATAAACCCCATTCATATTTTTACTGGCTTAATCTCCTCTGAAAAGCCCATTTAATCAATAGTATTGATAATAGAATTAATCGTCATAGAATCCTAACTCTGTTTTTATATGGGAAATGAATTGTGATTTCTAAATAAGAACTTACTGAATGCATTCTTGAAATAAGTCTATTTATATGTTGGAGTTTCAAAATGAAACTCCTGACCCACAGGAAATGGCAATGTAACTAAATACAGAAGACATATCAAACAGTAACTAATTATAAAAGCAGAATGTGACAAATGCCAAACTAGTGATCTGCCTAGTGAGTGTTTCTGAGGCTCCAAAGAGTAAAATTACTGAAGTGAGAACAGGCTTCATAGAAGTACTGAGTTTGAGGGCTTTTTAATAATGAGTAACAAGACTGGGGGAAAAAGACACTCTACAACAGTACAAAGGTGTAGGTATCCAAATCTATAAGCCTCTCTTAAAGCTAACTCAGAATAATATCATATTCAAGGTTTATTGAAAAAAAAAACAGAGAAGTTAAGAGTATTATTGATTGACAGGTCATTATCCTCTGCTCTTTCTCTTGCTTTCTTTGACAGATGTGAGGCACACAATTTAAAGCTGGCTATAATCCTTTTCTCACGATGATATAGGGAGAAGAAGTCAGAAAGGTCTTTATGCAAGGCACAGAAAGAAGATCTGAAACTTTCTATTTTCTCCCAAGTCAGAACTGCACCATGGATAGTATTATAAAGCAATCACATAACTACAACTTAAGCAAACCAAGCAGATTACTGGGAAACATCCATGTTGAATAAATGGAATATCAAGGTTAAGGTAGAAATACAACTTTCGACTGTAGCTTGTGACAACTTTCTATTAAATTTAGTAAACCATAGCTATAGAAATTAAAAATAATATGATGGAAAAACACATCTATGAAATATAATATCATGAACTTTGGTGTTATGTGTAATCACAGTCCTCTCCTTGACTGCTGGACTTCACATTACTTCTTCCTTTCTCTCTCTTTCTGTCATCAGATCACCTTTTATTTTTACTTGGATTTTCTATCTTATTCTCTGATCCAAGTTTTATTCCCGTGCTTATGACTCTCAACCTCAGCTTTTTTATCTTCTTTGATCCTGAATAGGAGTATTCTGTTTTCTATCATCCTTCTCCCTTATTCATCTCTACTTCTGCTTCAGCTTTTTTCCTCTATCTTGTGATCTTTTGGGGTTTTGGGAGCTGGTTCGTCTTCACTCACAAGTTTGGATTGTGTACCTACTTTGTCAATGTCTTCTTTCTCTATCTTGAACCCTTTCTTTTTATCTTTCTTCCCTTCCTCCAACTCTTTTTTCTCTTTCAACTTGTTCCTTCTTTTTACAATTCTTCTTATGATCAGTCTTTTCGACTGTTTTTCTTAACTTTTGTTTCTTCACCAGTAGCTTTAATTCTACATAACTCATGTGTTGTTCTCTCAGCAAATAGTCATCTACCTGGGACCGGCCATCTCCTACTCTCTAAAAGAGTCCATCCACATCACAAATTTTCATTTATTTCTCTTGGGCAGCAAAATTTTCAATTGTGAAGTTTGTGGATCTAAAATTCACTCTCTCAACAGTCCAACTAATTTAATCATTCCCTGGCCTTCTTCTACCTTTCCTTCAAATCCTAATTCATCAATCTGCTGCAGGAGTACATCAATTTTACATGTTAGAACCTTTTTCATTTTTATTTATTTTGTCTTTTGGACCACCAGTTCCAGGAGACTGCTGGATTTGAAATAATGGCTGAGTTTAATTCTACATTCTACTTCTACAAGTAAGCTCTGTAGGTGCCGCCTAAACTACCTTAGAGCTAACTTTCATAAAAATTAAAACTCTTCAGTTTTCATAGACTTTCATTCTGAAATTTTTCACATGGATGTGTAGATAAATTTTTTGCAACTGTTCCCTTCCTCTAGAGAAGAATCCTCTTATCTTCTGCCTGGCAGCAGGGTGTAGTGGGGAACATCTACCCATATATTTCTGGTGTCTCTAAATCCAGCTTCCAGGTGACAGCCAATAAGAAGCCAGACCTTCAGTCATACAGCCACCAAGGAAATGAATTTTGTCAATAATCTGAGTGAGACTAGAAGTAGTTTCCACCAGATGAGAAATAAACCAGCTGGCACCTTGATTTCAGCCTATGCAATTGAGCAGAGGACACAACTCCTTGCTCATGGAAACAGAAATAATGTGTTTGTTGATTTAAGCCACAAATTTTATAGTAACTGGGTATGTAGCAATAAAAAATGAATACAACTTTCTAAACTATTGTACCACCCAAAACTACTATTTTTATTGTCAGCTATCACTCATCTCTTCTACGCTGAATTCTACCTATATGACTTTGTTCATGTTGCTTACTCCATTTAGAACGTTTGATTCACTACTCTATGTGTTTCCAAAGCCTTACTCTCTCTTTAAAATAATATATTAAACTCTGTCGTCTTTGCTTAGGTATAGCAATAAAGTTAAAAGCATGTATTTCACAACAAAAGTAATATTTTTGCTTATACTTTATAGCACACAGCTTTTATATTATTAGATACAAAGTTTAATTAATGAAAAATAGCACTTGATATTATAATGATTCGTAGAATGTAAAGCATTCAATGGATTATATATACATATAAAACTTTACATTCATACCTGTAATTAGTTTTATGAGCTAAGTTATTACTTTCTTAATTTGATCATGATGTTATACTAAAAACAAAGAGAAATTGCTCATGTTTTACAGTATAGGAGTGTGATTGTGAAACATGGTTGCAACTGTCTACATGTGGTTGTTTTCATTTATATTTAGAATATTTAAAATTAAACAAATAGAGGAGTAGCCACGCTTTCAGTGCTTGATGATCACTCACAGCTAGAATCTACAGTATTGAACAGCGCAGCCATGAAATAATTGCATCATCACAGGATAATTTTTAATGTAGAATAATACTTATGAAACTTTATATCCAAAATGTATAAATAAATTTTAAACAAAATTTAATTTTAAATAATAAATTATGATTTTATTTTTAAAGACATTGAATAACATTAATGACTTCCACTTTTATTTCAGCATTTATAATTATTTAACCTTAAAACATGAAAATAAGCTATATGATGCGCTATTATGTAATTATGTGATTGTCTAGAATTGAATATCTTAGAAGAGGTGAAAATACGATTTGAGGACAAGGGAAGAGAGAAAAGGGGAAGGCAATAAAGGCAAGATGAAGTGAGGGAAATAGGAAAATCAAGAACCCATCATCATAGTGGAGTGGACTTTGTCTTTCTCCAAGATGCCCATCTGCAAGTTTTCGTACCTCCTCTGATACATACCTTCAAAGACCAAACCAGATGGGGCATCTCTGAAGTACTTTTAGGTAACCAAAGACTCTTAGTTAGAGATAGAGAAAATAAATAGTAGTAATAAAATAGTAATAAAAGAGTAATACATTTTTAATAGTAATAGTAGTAACAAAATCTATGTAATTCCTAAGCACTTTAAAGAAAAAATATCATATTCTATTTTTCCATTATCTTTCTCTTGATGTCTTGAAATATCTTCCTAATCATAAGAAAAATATATTTATAGAAATATTTTGACACATAAATTGTGTATAAGGGGGGATATTACTTAATTTGGCAAATAATTTTTTTCTCTAAATTTGTTTGTATTTGACATTTGTTTTGACAAAGTATTTTATGACTTTGTTTTCTCATGGTATTTTGAACCAACTACATCATATGTAAAGACCTGTGCCACAGATGGATAGCTCATCTCCAGGAGATTGAGAAATGGAGTATGAACCTTAGTTTTAAATCCATTTGGCAATTAGAACTGCAGTTTTACTGTGAACTGTCTTATTATACACTTTATCAAGATCATATGCATATAAAGTTAATTAACTTGTTTGAATAATTAACCAAGTAAGAATTTCATGATGATATCATTTTAGGATAATATATATTTATGAAATTATATATTTACTAAGAGTAGTATACGGTAAAGGGCTATGTTTAATTTAACCAATCATGAAAACTAAGATTGCTTTAACTTACCAGTAGTTCTTTTTAACACAAGAAAGTTAGATTCTTCAAACAAGATATTATGTGAAAAGTACCCTCTTATCAGAGGTGAAGAGTTAGTCTTAAAGCATCCAGAAACATCTAAACTTTATGTAAGCCAGATGTGGCAGCATGCACCTGTAGTCGCAGCTACTCGGCTGAGGTGGGCGGATAACTTGAGCTCAGGAGTTCGAGGCTGCAGTGAGCTAGGATCACACCACTGCACTCCAGCTGCATGACAGAGTGAGAACCCAACTCTCAGAAACAAGATAAAAATTAAAATTAAAAAATAAAATTCACATGAAACAAATACAATGCAATCATCTTTATATATATATATATATGAATATATTGGCTCAATCATTGATGACTGGATTGAATTTTGAAAAGGAAAGCTGCTTGGGAAAAAGCAAAAAGTGTGTCTCATAAAATTATGTAGTCTCACGTAGACTAAAATAAAAAATTCCTATTCTTTCAAGTTGGTAAGCTTTTGGGTAGATTATACTTAGAAGAGCACAGAATTAATCTGTAAACCACCACATTGCATACCTCCAAGTAAAGCAAGAGGAGCCATTTTACTTTGGATGGGCTTTGATTTACTTAGGAGAAGATTACGGAACTTCAATGCTTTTGTGGCAATTTCAATGTGGCTTCCTTAGCCGGCCAAGTGTTTCTAAGACATTCTATTGATACCCATCACATCTTCCACTGCCACTCCATTGCAATTCCATCACTATCAGCCTTTTTCTAACTACCTGTGTTTCCTCTCATCCTCTCCAGATAGGATAAGAATCATCCCTGTCTTTCAACTTGCCTAAAACCTAAGCTAGTGAAGGAAATTAATGACAAGAGAAGTGAGAAAGTAGCCAGTAGAATAAATACCAATGGCTATCTTCTATACCCAGTCCCCATTGCTACCAAAAAGTAGTTTCTTCCTTATGTCTGAGCCTGGGTATCTCTCTTTTTACAGCTACTGTTGTAGCTCCTCCAACGTAGAATTGATTTATACAGTCTGAAGAGTGATTGAAAGCACAATTTCTGCTCCAAATACTGGGTATTGCTTCAGTCATTGATCTACCCAGCATAATGAATGGTATCGGTTATAGATCTAAGTGAAATTTGGGAAAGGCATGGGATTTTGAGACCCTCTATAAAAGAGGCTTTTGCACCACTTCCAGAATAAAATGTTTTACAGTGATTGGCAGAGTTTTCAAGAGGAAATATAATGATATGCAAGAAAGAGAGAGATTGTTCTATTTAGATCCTTAGGACTATCAGGAATTGACTACATAATTGTGGAACCTATTGGAAAATAAAATTACATGGAATCTTATTTAATGTCATTAAGAGTTTCAAAAATGACACACTAGAGGATTAAACTAAGTCTGGGATTCATCTATGTCCCTGGCAGTGAGACTGGGCCAATTGCTTGCCCATGAAGTCAGTCTGGCAAGAATATTTAAGTTTTTAATTTTAAATTGTTATGGATACATGACAGTTGTACATATTTATGAGGTACATATGATACTTTAATACAAGCATATAATATGTAATGATCAAATCAGGGTAATTGAGATATTCATTACATTAAGCATTTATCATTTATTTGTGTTAGAAACATTCCAATTCCACTCTTTTAGTTATTTTGAGAGGACAATAAATTATTGTTAACTATAGTCATCCCATTGTGCTATTTAACACAGCATCTTATTCCTTCTATCTAACTGTATTTTTGTATTGAATAACTGTCCCTTCTCCCTCCACCCCCCCCACCACACTCGCTAATACTCTTTCCAGATGCTGGTAACCATCATTATACACTCTATCTCCATGAGTTCATTTTTTTTTAGTTCCCAGATATGAGTGAGAACAAACAATATTTGTCTTTCTGTGTCTGGCTTATTTCACCTAACATAAGGCCATCCAGTTCCACCCATGTTGTTGCAATTAACATGATTTCATTCGTTTTTATAACCAAATAATGCTTTATTGCATATATGTACCATATTTTTTATCCATTTGTCCAGTGATCAACACTTAGGGTGATTCCATATTTTAGCTATTGTTAATTGTGCTGCAATAAACACAGGAGAGCAGATGTTTCTACAATAAACTGCTTTCCTTCCTTTTGGATATATACCCAGTAGAGGGATTGCTGGATTATATGGTAGTTCTATTTTTAGTTTTCTGAGGAACCTCCATACTGTTCTTCAAAGTGGTTGTACTAATTTACATTCCCACAAACAGCATATGAGGGCTCCCCTTTCTCTGCATCCTCACCAGCATCCCCTATTTCCTGTCTCTTTAATAAATGTCACTTTAACTGGGGTGAGATTATATCTCATTATAGCTTTGATTTATATTTCTCTGATGATTAATGATGGTGAGCATTTTTACATATACCTTTTGGCCACTTGTATGTCTTCTTTTGAAAATGTCTATTGATATCTTTGCCCATTTTAAGTTAGATTAATTTGATTATTAATATTACTTCTGGCAGCAGAAGTTTGTTTTACTTGTCTTTTATTTTTTCCTATCGAGTTCTTTGAGCTTGTCAGGAATATTTTATAAAGTTAGCTGTTTTTTTTTTAAAGAAATCTTAGCAATTTTTGACTTTTCAAAAATATCATGTCATTTTCTCTTTTTTTCTTTTTGCTGCCAGAAGTAATATCCCTTAAAAATATGACACTATTCTGTGATTGTTTCCAGATAGTCTTAAAGGAGAGAAATCACAACATGGCTGGCTACCTCCTATTGCAGGGAAAGCATAGAGGGAATCTTCTCAGCAAAAGATAGTAGCAAGAAAAAAGGAAGAAATCGCCAACAGAAGGCTCCTAGAAAGAACATCAAGAGTATAATCTAGATTCCACAGCTCATAGCTGACTCTAAGGTGATTTGAAGCTAGATTAGATTCTGCTCCAAATGCGGTGTAAAATGAATCCATGATCCAATGTAAAGGAGGTTATTGGAGGAAAAATACTTAAGTGAGTTGGAACTTTAAAGGCACATCCAACATCATGGCTCAGTTCTGGGGTAATTAGCATACATTATGGGACTTTGAGAACTTCCCCCCACTATCTTTAGTAAAAATCTTAACATGACATTTTGCAACCATTCCATTTTGAGAGTTGGCAAGAGTTTGTACTTAACAAGAAAAATCTTACAAATGTGAGTCCTATAAGGCATTTGCTATATCAAGAATAGATTTTAAAATAAATAAAACTGAAACAACAAAAACAAATCCTCAAAGCAGAGGAAAACTTCTTTTCTTTGAGCAGTATAATTTGTCTTCATGTGCAAGGTAGGAGAAATATGTGTTTAGCAGGTTTTCAGTTTAGAATCTCTTCTGTAATAAACAGTAAAGAAAAGAACCAGCTGTCTAACATCACCTAATCTGAATGAAGGTAAAACTTAATTTGAATTATTTAAGCAACAATTAGCTAAATAAGAATAGTCTAGTTGTGTCTCATCCAGCACCCCTTTTCGTCTCAGCCTGCAATGTAATCTTGGACCTCTTTATGTAGAATCTATACTTTCTTGAGTTTTATTCAGAGTATAAGCAGACATAAATTTTCTTTTTTAGTTCTGTTCAGAAATAAGCTTTTCTTTAAGTCTCACAGTCTATATGTATTTTACTATCACAATTGCAAACTATAAGGCAAGGTGGTCTCCTTAAGATGGAATTAGCCTTTCAAACATGTTGGTGATGTAAAAACTCGGAAGAGTTCCCCTGATACTGTTCTTCAAAAATTGTACTTAAAAATTCAAAAAACATTCAGAGAATTAGTTTAAAGAGGGCCTAGTGTTTGATTTCCTTTCTGTTTTTTTTTTTTCAATTTTAATAGGCTAGGTATCATTGTGAAAAATATTGTCAGATTATTAAATAATATTAGTTGCAAGGTTACATGTCAGAATAATGATGCTGTATGTAACTATTTACTAGCTAACTAAACTTGAAAATATTAAAGCCTAGATAAAGCTCTGTCTAATGGAGGCTTGTCACATGCTGCAAGCATTTTCTATCTAGTTTCATTAACTCTGGTATTATAGATCATACTATGACATTGCTAGCTCAACTGTTATGGTATGATGTTTTAAACTCTCGAAGTGTTTTCAGATACTCTTCTATGATTATCTCAATAAATATTCAGGTGAGGTAAGTAAGGCTGACTTGGTGACCTCATGTTCTTCATGTAGACATAAACTTAGAGTAATTTAGAAAAGCTATAAGAGTGTCACATCTATTTTTGCTTTTATTTTTGCTAATTATCTAGATTCCATAAATGTTCCCTGTGTAATTTGCATGTATATTCTTTTGAAAACAGCAAAAATTTATTTGAAACACAGGTAGTACCATTTTAAATCTATACTTTTACATTATACTAATGCATGATAGTAAGTCATTGAAATTTACTACAATTTATGAGACACTCTTAAATCTTTCAATTTAAAAAAATAAGTAAATATTGATAATATTTGAAAAGTTGAGGATTAAAGACTTATTTGAAGTATGTTTCAAAAGTTCCATGAAATGGCAGGACATTTAGTAATTATTAATAAAGTATATTCAATTAAATAGCTTCCAGAGATGCCCTTTTAAATTGTCATCAAGAGGTGGAGCTGTTTAATGTTTAGTGTAGTGAAAATTGGATATAAGAAATGGAATTAAAGGATTTCACAGAGCATTTTTTACTATCATAGGATATCTTAATGTTCCTATATACCTGCTGTATTATATTATAGTTTTAATTGCTGATCATCTCTTCTTACATTTTTTTCAAGGCACCATGTAGCTTCAATGTGAATAAACAACCACTAGATGGCAAATTTTCCATTTTTTAGGACACCTATAGATGGTATATCTAATTTTGAGATGGATTACATGCTTTATACTTAGTCAATATTTAATAAATTTACTTTTTTTGTAACTTTTAGCTTCTTACTCAAAAAATAATAGCAATAAAGTTCAGTGTAACATGTCAAGAACACAGAAAACGGTCTTATAATTTTCTGGTAATAAATATTAAAAATATGGAATTTTACTTACACTATTCTCTCTGATATAAACACATATGAGAAGTTTTTTAAGTTTTACAATTTAATAATACAAATTTTTGTAAATTGCACTATACAGTGAACACTACTATTATTCAAGACGTTCTATATAAGTAAAAATTCACTCATTCTCTTCCCTCCATCACAGAATTTACATTGTAAAATTCTGCCCCATTAATGTAAAGCCTATGAGCAGTATTCATACTTCCCATTGTTCATCTAGTATTGGCAATGAAGATAAAAGAAAAAAGTTTCCTATGGTTACACAGTGAAGCCTTCTGTGCAGAGATGCTTACTAGAAAAGTATTTTGACTTCCCTTTTTCTCATCTCCTATCAAGAAGAAGGCAACAAGACTCAATGTACATATTTCAGCATCAAATTCTGTAAAGTAAGTATAATGGATGACTCCTTGGGCCATATAACAAACTCAAGAAGTATTTGGCCCCAACATATGATTCAAGGCAAGTGAGATTTACATTTTTATGCAAAGTAAGGATAATAAATACAATAGATAAGTTTATGTGATTTATAATAAACATTAAAAAGAAATACACCATACAATAAGCTTTTTGTCCCATAATAACATTTTTTCATTTAATCGTAGTTTAATGAAAGTTGTTAATTAAACTAAGATTAAACATTAGTTTAAACATTAAACTAATGAACAGCTTTCGTTAAACTAAGGTTTAATTAAAAAGTTGTTAAATTTTTTATATGGCAGAATAGTATTTCATTATATGACTATTAACAAATTTATTTATTCATTCTTAATCTATTTATGTATTCTTATACTTATATAGCACTATCTTGATTAATGTAGCTTCATAACAAGTCTGGAAATCAGGAATGTTAGTTCCCAAATTTTTTAATTTTTCAAAAAATTATTTTGTTTATTCTAGGTCCTTTGAATTTTTATGTAAATTTTTAGAATAAACTCATCAATTTGTAACAAAAAAGCATGCAAAGATTTTCTTCAGTGATATGTTCATTTTATAGATCAACTGGAGAAGAATTAACCACATTAGTAGTGAGTCTTCTGATCTATGAATATTATATATTCATATTTCTTCATTATGTGGCTCTTTCTTCTCAGCATGGTCTTTCAGTGTATGAGTCTTTCACATCTTTTCTCATTTTTATTATTTCATAATTTATTAATATTATAACATGTATCATCTTTACAATTAAATGCCCAATTATTCATTGTTAATATATAGAAATACAATTGAATTTTGTATGTTTATTCTGTATCCTGCCACGTTGCTAAGCTTGCTACATTTTTTTGTCGATTTCATCAATTTTTTTATAGACAATTGTATCTGCAAAAAGTTTTATTTCTTCATTTTTACAGATATGACAAACTTGTATTCAAATAAAAAGTTTTGTATTTTTAGTAGAGACGGGGTTTCACTAAGTTGGCCAGGCTGGTCTTGAACTCTTGACCTCACGATCCACCAACCTTGGCCTCCCAAAGTGCTGGAATTACAGGCATCAAGCCTTTTTAGTGCAACAGGATTTTTGCTTATATTTATATTTCAAGATCTTCAAAACCATCTTTAATTTTGCTCAGATTATCTGTATCTTCATCAGATCTTTTCTTTAAAGTTTTAAATAACTATCTTAAATGAAGAAAAGTAAACTAATCCTTATCTGACCTAAATCAATATGAAAACTTCAGACCATTTGTTTTTTACAACTACCACAAACATACCTAAAATTATTTTAGATGGTACAATAAAATCAATAATGTGATGTATTGGTCATGACATTGAGACTCTGATTAAAATGCTGCCCGTTTTTATGCTCAGAAACTTGATTTAATTCCAACATATGCTACAGATAACAGTTTTCTGTATATTCTATAAGTGTTCTTGGTCAAAAATAACCAAAATTTGACTTAACATGTAGACATGAGAAGCATAATACCTGAGGATACATAAATTATCTTTGGAGACTTGTAAAAAGAAACCAACAAACACAAATATCTGATTAATATTATATTCTATGTTAGCCAGATACCAATTTTGATTACATATGTAGGCTTTCTTTATTTTTCTAAACAATTTGAAATAGTACCATAGAAAGGCTAATCATACAGTTTACAAAATATTCATTAAATATTTATAGAAGAAAAATACAATATTGTCCTTCAACTAGCATGTTTCATTGTTGTAATTTAAAAATTCCTATTGCATCTTGTATTTATATATAAGTACATCGTAGTATAAACTACAGTTTATACTACCTTTCTTACAAGTAGTTCTGGAGTTTTGGGTACCTGAAAATCCAATTCAATAGCCGTATATATATATAATTTTTTTTTAAGACGAAGTCTCGCTCTTGTCCCCCAGGCTGGAGTGCAGTGGCGCGATCTCGGCTTACTGTAACATCCGCCTCCAGGGTTCAAGCAATTATCCTGCCTCAGCCTCCCAAGGAGCTGGGATTACAGGCACTTGCCACCACGCTTGGCTAATTTTTGTATTTTTAGTAGAGATGGGGTTTCACCATGTTGGCCAGGCTGGTCTCGAACTCCTGACCTCAGGCGATCCACCCACCTTGGCCTCCCAAAGTGCTGGGATTACAGGCGTGAGCCACCACACCTGGCCAACAGCCCTATTTCTTACGATTGTTTTAGTTTCTCTAAAGCACACTTGCTCAGAGAGAAGGGTGCCTAGATATTGTGGACTCCTGGGTAGAACACCATGTAACGTTTATAAATTCATCCTAACATAGACAAAGTAAGCTTTCCCCAAATAAGGTATTATTTTTGCTAGTTTTGGTTTAAATAATAGTAAACTATGTAACACAGAAACCTAGGATAAAGTAGCAAAAAAAAAAAAACAAAGTAAAATTGAGTAAGTTTGTTCCATTATATTATTTTTTACTCTAAAATTTGGGGTGGTAAAGAAGATGAATATTATTTCACTTTAGTTTCATAGAAGTATAGTTTGAGAACCACGTTCCTGAGAAAGTAGTCCTTTATCATTTTCAAAGTTGGTTATCCCCTTGACTGAGGCAGAGATGATTATTGTTTTAAACAAGTGCCTGGTACATGTCCCACTAATCTCCATGAGATTTTTAATGGTGTGTGCTCTCTTTCAGTGACAATACTTTATCAATAGTTCCAATATTCATAAGCAGATTTTCT
Organism: Homo sapiens; assembly: GCF_000001405.40. Lineage (NCBI taxonomy): Eukaryota > Metazoa > Chordata > Mammalia > Primates > Hominidae > Homo > Homo sapiens. The sequence continues at coordinate 70,102,271 of NC_000013.11, forward strand.
ATCCTAAAGCCCTAATTTGGTCTCCAAAATAATTATTTCTTTCCATTTCTAGGTTATATTTGCATATTGTTTATTAATTATAAAATAAAATACACTGAATGAACTATAATTTAGAAAATAATAAGGTGTTTTCTAACTTGGGCTAAGAAGTCATCTTTGACTAAGGCTTATCTAGAATTTTTCCATCACTGTCAATTTAAGAAGTCTATTTAAACATTCAAACACAATCTCCACCAAGGGAAAAAGAAAATTATTTCTCCATAACCTCAGATGCTGCCTCTTTTCTTTTGTTCTGTTTGTTTGTCTAAGCATAGAGAAATAAGATTGGGCAAAATGGCCAATATGGTATCTGGAGTCAGATACAACGGGTTAAAGTCCAGCCTTATTAATAACAAGTCTGTGATTCTAGGAAAATTAATTACCCTCTTTATATTTCAGTCTTCTTATCTATGTAATCATTATACCAGAGGGATACATAAATGTAGCAGGATTATAAGATGTTATTAATTTTAACTTACGCATATAAATATTCAACATGCTAACTGGCAAAAAGCAAGTTTTTAATCAATGCCACTAAATATGATTATATCAAATATTTATTCATTTGACAGTATTTATTGAGTAACTACCTGCTCCATGGTAAGGGTAGAATGATGAGTAAAACAGACATACTCCTCTCCACTTGGAAATTCACTTACAGACAAACAAAATCAACACAGATATTCATATATGGTTACAAGCTTCAATAAGAATTTTTTTAAAAAGTAGAGAACAGTTATTCTAAGAAGACAAAACACAGGATATGAATTTGTTTCGGTGATGAAGAACTCCTTTCCTGGGAAAGGTACAGCACGTTTATGCATGACATCTCTGTGATGAATAGGGATGAACTCAGGAAGGGAGCAGTTAAGGAAAGGATAGTCTCTATGCAAAGAAGGAAAACAACTTTGTGAGTTCCAGAGGCAGTGAAAAATTATAGGGAAGGATATTAAGTCTGGAAAACAGAGGGTAAGGGGAAGGTTGGTAAGTGAATGGCCTACATAGCAGACAAAGGACAGAGCATTCAGAACCAGGTAATCCATGGTACAGATTGTCATCAGTTGGCGTCCATAGTATAAACTGTAATCAGCGAGTGTTGGAAGTCCTTTGGTGGGGAAAAAGGAGAATGAGGGAGTGAGGGATGTGGAAAAATATTTCACCATTCTTAATTTTTATTGACTTCAGTGTAGAGAATGGACTTGAGGAGGCAAAGATAATGAGGGGAGGTGATAAGAGATGGAGGTTGCAAAACTAGAGTTGAAAGAAGATCGTAGCTTAGATTAGGCGCAGACAATGGCTGTGAAGAGATGTGGGACATGCATAGGAAAGATTTTCTAAGCAAAAGCAGCAATTCTTGAAAGAATAGTGAAATTGAGGGGAAAGAAGATATTGACCAATGTGACCCTGGAATTCTGGCTTGCACAAACTAATTCGTAGAAAGCTATTCTCTGAAATACAGTAGAAGGAAATTGAGCAAGACAGAATAGGAATTATAAGCTCAATTTTGTACATGTTATATTTGACTGGACTCTATGACATCTATCAAAGAGGTCAAGAAGAGAGGTGGCTATGTAAGACTACAGTTCAGGAGAGGGGAGGGCTAGATTTAGAGATGCAAATCTGTAAAGACAGTTTATGGATGGTAGCTAAAACCATGGGATAAAATGACTGCACTCTGTAAGAATTCAGAATCTAAAAAAGCAAGCAGTTAAAACATGACATGTCTTCTCCCACTCACATCACTATAAAATGCAAGAATATAAATATTGCTCTTTGGTGTTTTAGTTTACTACATATGGAATCTTGGGCAGAAATATCCACAACAAAAATATATGGTTATCTGAATATCCAGGAAATCATATACTTTCTAATGTATATTTAGACAGGGAAGTAGAGAAATTAATGATTAATAGGCCAGTGAACTATTATAGGAAAAGTATTGTTTATGTGGTCAAGGTAGTAGAGCACTGAGATTTATTTAGGGTGGGATGCAGGTAGTGAGCATTTAATTTAGTAAGGTAAGAAAAAGGTTGGGTTTTGGCCCTAAATTGGTTTACCACAATATTTCCCACTACCTTTATGTTTCAAGTCTATGATAATTTGACCTTTCCAGAATTCTGAGATTGTGAGCAACTTTCCCCAAATGTCCTCCATCTGCTGTTCTAACCGGTTTACTCAACTGAGCTAGTCATACTTGTCTAAAGCAATGTTCTAACTAGTATAAAACTAAATGAATAAAGAGAAGATCAATAAAATGAATAAAGATAATGTCAGAGAAAGGGCCAACTCATGTTTTATATGTAAGGATTAATTTAGCAGAAAAGTCAGAATTTGTAAAATACAATGCTCATTATTAAATATGACATCATTGTTTGGTGATATGATAATGACCTAAGTGATAAAAATTGTCATACAGCATTCATATAGTTTATGTAGTCACTGATCATCATAAACACCATGTAGCTTTTCTGGATGTGCTGTCACAGAAAAAAATTAAATCCACATTACTCATGATTTTGCATACATTTCTAAAGCATAATAAAATTTCCATTCAGTATTTTACTTTGGAAATGCTGTCTTTTCTGGGCAGTGACTCCTACTTTTACTGCATATTAAAATATTATATACTGATAATGATTAATTGCTAGTTTTACTAGTGTGGTTTTCAATCAATCATGAGCAGAGAACCAATTCTCTATGAAAATTTAAGAACATATAAATCCATCAAATACATACAGTGCTAGCTGATTTGTCTAGTAAGAAACTAGACTAAAAATAAAATTGGACCTGATTTTCAATAGTTTACACATGCCTAATCTCATAAGATAATTTGATTCCAACAATAAAGATGATTTTGGTTGGTAGATGGGTTAATTTAGGAATTCTTATCACTCACAACTCTTTGTGAATAAAAATAATAAACTATTTTCAAAAGTAAGAAACTTGTTAAGTCTGGTGTTTTTTCCCTAACTAAACTGTTTGTTCTGTTATTAGTTTTAATTTATTATAATTTCTTAAGTCACTACTCCATTAATGTTTTCAAAACTCCAAATTACATAAAAGTCTTTATAAACTACTAATGCTGAATATGCCTTATTTTAAAATGTATTTGGTATAAAGTAAACTTTAAGAAAATATGAAACATTAATATTTCTAGGAGCTTATTCAAAGAATTTAAAAATTGACAAACACACATAATGTTTAAATTTCTTCCTGAGCTGTTAGAGTCTCAAAACTATCAGTTTTAATAAAATAGTAACAGATAAATACTTAACCTAGTTTCCTTTTGAATATATAAGGTGAATTGCTTAATGTTTCTGGATAATTCCTCCCAAAAAGTGTTTATATTTACTCAACAAAAGGGTATAAAAATTTCAGTACATTTGATTTTTTAAATTATAAAATTATAGGTAACTAGCATATTAAATAACTTTTAATAACATTTTATAACTTCATAGTATTCATAGTACCTAACGTTATAATTCTTTTTCCTAAAATATTTCACTTAATGGAATGATAGATAAACTTATATTTAGGTCTCCTATATATGGAAAAACCATTGACACAATTGATAATTCCAGATTATACTTCTCCCTCATTAAAATTATCTTACATTATAGTACATGTCTTAATATAACATTAGAATATGTTCAATCTCTGAAAATTAAAATTAAAAAATATATATAATGTATATAATTGAAAATTTTTAAGGATATTTTTAAATCTATAACCACATATGTCAGCATAATTAGGGAGCACATATATACATACACACACATATATACACATATAGGTTATACATATATAATTTTATCTATTCTTTTTGGTACTTAATCAAATTTATAAGAAACTGATTCAATCAACCAAAAGACTAAAAAAGATGCTTCTGTTACTAATTTGTTACTGTGTAGTAATTAAAATTTCTTAATATATACATTATCATTTTCCTATATTTCTCCTGTAGTTCTTCTTTAATAATGTATTCTGATATCACATGAATCTAAATGCAAATCATTTCATATCCTGACTATATTCCAAAACCAGTAATGATGTGGTTTAGAATAGTAATGAGTCAATTCTCTCAAAATGTAAAACTTGGGAGTTTTATGTCTATGAAGGATTTTCTGTAAGTCTTTAAAGTAGCAGAACTCTACACAAAGAAGCATAATATTTGAAATAAACTAGAAATAAATATTGAGCTGTTTACCAAGGAGACAAAATTTCAATACTGAGCCAACAAATCACAACAGCTAAATGCAAAGGGACTCCACGACAGTTTAACTCAAAGACTTACTCTGAACAAGGCAAGAGTGAACACAAAGTAAAAGGACCAGAAGAGAAGTTGGGACAGAGAATAAGACGACTGCATTTCAGGAGCAAAAAGAGAGGTAAAATAATGTTGCTGTCCAGTGGCCTCATTTTGTCCACCTCATTACTCCTGGAATAGATTCAAACCACAGGGACCTTAGATAATATGCTAAGTCAGTTACTAGGCCAATATATGAGATGCATTCTGATGATGTGTAAAGCAAAATTTCATCTTCAGATAATGGAACGACTGATATAATTTAATGACGGTAGATGACAGAAGAACACCATAATCTCAGGAATATGAGAACTATTCCACTTGAAGGCTTACAAAAATGCATGTAAGTTCAATTGGTGGCTACAACTTTGAAAACTTCCAAAAAGAAAAGTGAGGTGTCTGAACCAATAGAAATTAATGAGCAAACTTGTAATGAAATTAGAACTTGAGTAATCAAAACCAGGGTGGCATCTCTTAACCCACATTTTCAACCTGAAACATTTTAGACTTAGTAGCCACATGAGCACACGCGGTGAAATGAGTGGAAATTGAGAGATGCTTGGAAGCCCCGTGGGGACTTACTGTACCTGTGTCCACATCCTTCACCTGTTGCCTGGCTAGAGTTGTCTGGCTCCACTTTGAGCTCTTGCAGAACCAGCCCTTTTTCGTGTGGTCCAGGAAAGTCCATGCCTGGCACCACCTCCTCCTCTAGTGACTCCACGTAGAAGAGAGTCCTGGCTGGCTGCTGAGTGCCCTGCCCAGGAGCCCCTTGCTGCAGCCTCGTGGCAACTGGAAGCAGGGTGCCATTCAGCGGATTGAAGGAAGAGGAGGAAGAGGACGGGGAGGACGATGAAGAGGAAGAGGAGGAAGGCTTCTTCCAGAAAGTGCTCACACCGCTTCTCTCTTGGCTTTTGAGCAGGCGACTCTGGCTGGGTCCCCAGTGCTCAAAGCTGCCACTGCCGTCCTGTTGCAGGCAGCCTCCCCCCGCCGGGCCGCCGGTGGAAGGAGACGGGTGGCTGAAGAGTTTCCAGCGGAGTCGCAGAATGTGCTTCACATCGAAGTCTTTTCGCCCAGAGCCTGACATGCTTTACGCACAGAAGGCAAAAGGCTGGCAGCTCACGCAGGAGTAGGCTGGTCAGCAGGTGGGGGAGGACAGCGGGGCCCGGGGGCGGAGGAAGAGGCGGGATGCGCCCTCTGCACCCCTAGAGCCAGAAGACGCTAGGTGGGCTGCGCGCTCTGCCAGGCGAAGGCTGGAGCGCAGACGGCAAAGCCGCGCGTTTCAGCCGTGGTCGGGTCCGCAGGACCTGGGCGTGGGGACACCACCAGGCAGGAGCAGAGGCAGGACTGGGACGCCAAAAGCTGAGAATCCTCGATGCCCGCGCGAGAGCCCCGTGTTATGGCGAGGTGGGACAACCCTTAGGCTGGAGATGCGCGAGGGAGGGAGGTCTGAGCGCTCCGAAGCTCCGGAGGCGGCTGCAGCTGGATACACCTCACTGGGATGCGCTTGTGGCAGAGCCTTAGTAGGGAAGGTGGTGGCGTTCTTGTCCTTGCAGCTCAGAGTTCAGTGTCTGGAGAGCGCAGAGAGAAAGAGCCCCAAGTCTCGAGGAAGCGTACCCCTCGCCAGATCTCTTGGTGCACCTGCGCCCCTGTCCCTGGCCTTTTCGAGGATGCCCCGATAGCCTGCCGGGTGGCTCTGAGAAAGTCAATTGCTTTCTGCAATGCCAGAAGAGGTGGTTTTATATAGTCAGTTTGTAAAAGAGAAAAATAGATATTCTAGCGCATATAGGGAGGCAAAAGAAAAAGCCCGCCTGTGAAGCTGTCAAGGTCCTCACAGTACAATTTTCTCTCTGCCTCAGCGCCTCCTCCTCCCCTGTAAGTGACGCAGATGTGCACTGGGGCCTATACGGAGAGATGGAGGGAGGGAGGGAGGGAGGGAAGGCTTCAATCTTCTTTATGCAAGTGAGACTGCTGCTCTTATTGTCCCCTTGCGTGGGTCTTGTCACCTTTTTTCACCCTCCTTCCTCGCTACATTACTGTGTAGCAATACAAGGAAAGAAAACAGGCATTATGCTTTTGCATCAGTAAACACCACACATGAATCATGGCAGTGTAAACTTAATAGGCTGCCATCAGTTTGCAGGTTGCAGGTTAATGGCTTGAATTATTTAATGAACCGCGTCTTTTAACCTTTAGCCTTAGTTTCTCTGTAGTGAGACACAGAAGAAACGGATGCTGGCGTCAAAATGTGACGATGCCACCATCCTGACACTTACATTGTGATTCTGCTATTAAGGCACCCAGGCACTGCTTCACTCCTGGGGCCAGAGGCGTACGGTAGAAATTTGAAGATGGGCATCTGAACACGGGGGACGGGTTTTGCGAAATCAGTGCATTTGGTGTGTAGCCTCGGAATGAAAGCTGTTATCAGTGTAAATCAAGAATGGAATAAAATGATAAAAGAGAATTTCAAGGTATAACCTTCTAGTACATAAATCATTGTATACTATGCATGGAAGAGTTTAGGCAATAAATGAGAATAGCCGAAGGCTACTTACTATCTTGCAAATAGGCGTTTGGAGAAGATGTGTTTTCCCCTTATATCTATACTTAGAATGGTGAGGATTGCGATCACTTTCAGTACATGACTACTTGGAATGTTTTAACCTTTCCTTTAATGAGCCATTAAGATAGAACCCAGTAGTCTTTGTTGAAGGCAAAGGGACCAGAAATGCAATGTGTTCCCTAACTTAACCAAGAATATGGTTGTTGTCCATTCATGAAATTCACAGTTTCAGTAACCCCCAACAGAGCATAGGAATCAACCACTGAAGTGCAGTTAGGCTACTGCTCAGTTACCCCCAAGGTTGAGCTGTAAACGTAACCAGAAACCAAAGCTAAATTTGGAGTCCTTAGGCAAAGTTGGACGCTTTAATAAAATAAGAAATTAAGTGCACAAAAGACCTATTTTTAGGGGAATAAAAATCACTATAGTGCTTTTAAAATATTGATTTATGCCACAACAGCTGGACTGCAATCCCTTGTGCCTTGATTTTTCTCTCAGTATTCAGTGATTTTTTGTTTGTTTTTTGTTTATTAAGCAAAAAACCCTTTAAAGCCAACAATGGTGACAGATCATTTTTATCCAACAATGGAATCAAGTAAGCATTTCCCTTAGGGAAGAAAATAGTTTATGAAATTACACATCACAAACAGGACAGAGGAAACTTTCCATCAGAAATAATGTTGAAAGTTGAAGTGCATGTAATTAATTTATATAGAAATTAGTGCTTCATGGATTATCTCACTTGATTTATTTAAAATAATATAAAATAACATAAGTCAAGTCTCTGTATCTATATTTTTCATTCACCATTCACAAACTGTAATATAAAATTTATTTGTTATTCTAAAATTTAATTTTGCAGTTCCTTTTTCTCTGCAATACTAATAAGAATATTCCACAGTTAAAAGTTATATGTTTAAAGGACAATATTTTATATGACCCAAAGGAGATATAACATTAATTTGTGGTATAAAGGAACATGAATTAAAAATATTGTCACATTTAGCAGATGGTGAATAAAGCCTATTTGTTAGTCTTGTAGTAACATTTAGTATGTTTAAAGCACTGCCAGAGCCAATTATGTAAATATAGGTACCTTTCTATATTTGTCAATCTTAATACAATATATAAGTTTGAAAAAATCACTCTTCTTGGGAATATATTTAAATAAAATTCAACTTTATTATCAAATGAAAATATTTCGAATTTAAGAATTAAATTACGCATGAAGTTATGTTAAACTGAAATGACTGACAAAGATGATTATATTATTTTCACTTGATTGTTACCATACTACAGTGTTGTAGAAAAGGAAGGAGAAAATAAAACAAGAAAAAAAAATGGAAGAAAGAGAGGAAAGTGAGAAGGACGAGAAGAGAAGGAGAAAAAAGAAAGAGGGAGAGACTGCGAGAGAGGGAAAGACAGAGACAGGAAAGGAGGAAGGAAAATAATTTGGTTGGATATTATGGCTTAACCTGGCATATTAGATAAAATCCTTGAAAAATATACTTTGTAAAATACTGCACTAATTAATTTATCTATTATTCAAAAATAAAAAACTTTGATTGATCACTTAGGTCCAATGTAAACTAGTAACAAATATGAAGGAATTGGTCCCATGCAGCTTGCTGGAAGAACCCACAAAAGAGGACTGTTTAACCAGCCATAAGTAATAATTGACTTGTGAGTCAATTAAATTAAGATTTAAGATAACCAAGCTTATAGGCAAGAAGACATTGACATAATAAAGACCACTTTTAACAATCCCAACAAACACACTTTGTTTTAAAGACAGAAACTATTTAATTATTCTAACACTATTGAATTAAATTGAACTGTCAGTTGAATCAATCAGAGTCTTTCAAATGAATGTCCATATGGTTGCCATAGTTTCCTGAAACACTAAGCAAAAAGGTTAATCGGGATACAGAAAATCTGTAGAATGCTCAAGTATTTACTGTAATACACAAATACAAAACTCTTCGCATAAGTATTAAGTCAAGCATGGGTGTAAAATGTATCACACTGAAAGTTTCTACAACTCAAATATTTAAACAATAAGCAAAATTGGCTTTGGATCTGTTTTAGTCCATTATCTGTTACTTGTAATAGAAAACCTGAAGGTGGGTAACTTATAAAGATAAGGAATTTATTTATTATAGTTATGGAGGCTGAGAAGTCTAAGTTCTAGAGGCTGCATCTGGTGAAGGTCTTCTTCCTGGTGGGGACTCTCTGCAGAGTCCTGGAGCTGCACAGGCATCATATGGCAATGGGGTTAAGCATGCTGTCTCAGGTCCCTCTTCCTTTTCTTATAAAGCCACTAATCCCACTTCCATGATAACCCATTAATACATTAATTCTTGAGGTTCTGCCCTCGAGACCCAATCACCTCCTAAATGCCCCCCTCTCAATATTCCACAACAGAGATTAAATTTCAACATGAATTTTGGAGGGGACAAAAATTCATACCATAGCAGAATTCAAGAATTTTCTAGACTGAAAGCTTCTCACTTTTAGTGACTATTTTCTAAACAAGCACAATTAAATGTATACTTTTCCAGGAAAAGCAATTTTTTTTGTATCTTTTTGGCAGGCCTTCTGCAATGCCTAGAAATTTCTTCTACATGATAATACTCAACAAAAACATTTGAATGGCTAATTATGCTCAAATTTGAAAGTTCATGCCTTAAAATGGCTCCTGTGATTTTGTCTTTGATTAATTTTAATAAGATGTATTTATATACATTTTATTAGTCAATTTTTGCACTGCTATAAAGACATTCCTGAGACTGGGTAATTTATAAAGAAAATAAGTTTAATCAGCTCACAGTTCTGCAGAGTGTACAGCCTTCTGCTTCTGGGGAGGAGGCCTGAGGAAACTTATAATCATGGCAGAAGGCAAAGGGGAAGCAGGCACGTCCTACGTGGCTGGAGCAGGAAGAAGAGAGAGCTAATGTAAAGGTGCCACACACTTTCAAATAACCAGATCTCATGAGAGTTCTATCATGAGAACAGAAAGATGGACGCCCACCCTTATGATTCCATCACCTCACACTAGGATCCTACTCTAGCACCGGGGATTATAATTTGACATGAGATTTGGGTGGGGACACAGAGCCAAACCATATCATACATTAATATAAAATATTATTTAAAATTAGAGAATACCATTTAAAATAATTATATAGAACTTTTAATGTATACATTAAATAAAAATTGTTTTGCAGTGACTTTTTTTCCCAAAATGATTGAAACATAATATCATATAGCACTAATGCTAAGTTATCCCATGCATAATCAAGGGTTCCTACCTCTTAAAACAAATACACATAACCATTCATGGTCTATTAATCTTCATTACAGTATAGTTATAGTTTACTTAAGTGTCAATTAAGTGACTGCTTAATAAACATTTGTAGGTATTCATTGATCCCCAGGGGCCATTTTAATCCACTCAACCTCCTTGGTTTATTTGACCTTTTGATTTAGATCTGGCAATACATTTGTATAGTTGAGGAATTCTTATATAAATTGCTGAGTTAATTTCATTAGTATGTGAATTCAAAATGGCATTAAAATAGTGAATTTCTATTAATGATGAGCCAGGTTTTATTTGTGTGTCTTTTTATTTCCCAAAATTCTGTGCAGAATATTGACAGTGGTTTATGAACATTCATTATTTTCACTTTTGTGCTGGGTCCTGTCTGGTTAATCACACTGCTGAGGGACTTTATATATATAATTTTTTTTTTTTTTTTTTTTGAGATGGAGTCTCGCTCTGTCGCCGAGGCTGGAGTGCAGTGGCGTGATTCCTGCTCACTGCAACCTTCACCTCCTGGATTCAAGTGATTCTCTTGCCTCAGCCTCCCAAGTAGCTGGGACTACAGGCACCACCACCACACCCAGCTAATTTTCGTATTTTTAGTAGAGACGGGGTTTCACCATATTGGCCAGGTTGGTCTCAAACTCCTGACGCTGTGATCCTCACATCTTGGCCTCCCAAAGTGCTGGGATTACAGGCATAAGCCACAGCGCCTGGCCTATGATGTGATTTTTAAAACACTTTCTATCCCTTTTATGAAAATATTTATAGATTGAAAACAAATATATGTAGACATATAGATATAGATAAATGTAATATACATATACATTTAATAAGTATTTCAAGGATATTTTCTAATGAGTAAAACACATTTGATGGCATGATATCCTATTTTGTATAACACTAGAGTCTTTAAAAAAGAAAACTGCTTAACTAATACTTATTTACAAAGGGTTAAGATTTCCCTAGCATTAAAAAAGTAATTTCATTATTTTGTATATTGCACTGAAATTTGCCTGTATCACTGTGGGGTAAGGTGAGTCCCCTGAAACTTTAATCAGGATGATCAAAATAAAATAGTAAGATTATAGTTTATAAAATACAGATTTGGAAGTTATAGGAGTGTAAGATATTCATATAAATATAGATAAAATAGTATAACTTTGTGGATATTTTATTTTCTGTTGTCTCTTTTGAGACATGGGTTTTTGGAGACTTTAAAATATTTTCTCAAATCAGGTTACTACATTTCTCTTTCCATCTTGAGACATATTTGCCAAAACTTTATATTTTCATTCACCTGCATTATTACCAGATCTTTTAAAAATCTAGGACAAAAATGCATGGCTTTAAAAGCTAAGATCTAGTTTGTCTTAACATAATTCTAATTATGGATGTAACGTAAATTACAAATAGTTTTCAAATGCTCTTTTTCCCACAAGTTTATGTGTAAGGAATATGTGAAGTTATAACACCCCAAAACAACATTTTTTAGTTAATCTGTTTTAGAAATAGTACTGTGATTTTTATTTCAAATAAATTATATATTCAGAGTATTGGGAAGATTATTCTAAGAAATCAAATTACTTTGAAACATTATTACTAGAAGTAAATTGGCTTCCAAAATCTAATTTGAAAATCACAACTTGACACTTAATATATTTTCCTCAGTTTTACACCCAGTCAGGATGCTTTTGGCTCACCAGTCCCAAAGAATATTACTTGTCAGCCCCATGGGAAGCTAACAAGTTGACCCTTTGCCTTGAAGACTGTCTCCTGCAAATGTGGTGACCTCTCCCTTTCTGTATAACTCTAGTCACTGGCCATCATGGCACATGTAAATTCTCTTTCTTTATTGCTCAAAGGAAATATGACATGGACTTCACACAATAATATACTAAAGTCTAAAAAATATTAAAACAGATAAATCTGTAAATTAAAGCATACATATAATTATTGAAATCATAGCCTACTTAAGATTTCATGTGATGTCTAGGACAAAATTACAAGTAAAATAATAGCGGCAAAAGGAATGATGAGTTTTCAGATTATATTACATTCTTTAAATTTCTTCACACTAGATAGATTCCCAGATTAAACATAGAGTATTTTCTTCAACGGTTATGTATGAAACATTTTATACATCATATTATTATTTTCTTCTTAGTTGGATAATGACTCAAGAAACTAAGAAAGGAACTATTATTTTATGACATCCTACCAAGTGCCAGACAATGATTTCATTCTATCTTGATACAAATCTTATTTAGGTAGGCATTATAAAACAGGCTTAATATGAAAAGAAGTAGAATCAACTGGCCACTAATATTTTCTTATATTAATTGTTTTAGATACTCCTCCATAAGCCGTACTTTTTCTCCTATTTTAAAATTAACGTATGAGAACTAAAAAAAATGACAAACTCATTAAAGGCAGAGATTCTCAATATCATTTCCTCAGCTGTGTGAGCTCTGCTTGAATAGAAGAGAGACTCCTGGTATTCTCAAAATTGAGCTCTCTTTCTAACGTGTGTGTGTGTGTGTGTGTGCATGTGTGGGTGTGTTAGTCCCTTTTGTGCTGCTATAACAGAACACTACATACTGGGTAATTTATAAATAACATAAATTTATTCTCTCATAGTTCTGGAGGCTGGGAAGTTCAAGACCAATGCACGAGAATTTGGTCTAAAGAGAATCTTCTTGCTCTGAACACACATAGTAGAAGGCAGAAGGGCAAGAGAGAGAACAAAGTCTGTGTCTCCACATGGCAGAAGAGCAGAGGAGACAGAACCTACTCCTGTAAGTCCATTTTATAATGTCATTAATCCATTCACAGGGAGGGAGTCCTCATGACAGAAACACCTCCCAAAAGGCTCACTTCCCAACACTGTGGCATTAGGGATTAAGTTTCCAACAGAAGAATGTGAAGAAATAAGTTCAGACCACAGCAGTGTGTATTGTTTTCAAGTCTATATGTATGTTTGTGTATTTGTGTAGATACATGGGTGGCTATATCTCTATAGAAACAAAAGTAATGGTTTTTTTGGGGGGGCAACACATTTTGGAAAATGAAGATGGTCTTACTAGACTAGGATGGTTCTGCAGGGCAAAGAACATGTCTTATTTAATTTTGAATTCACAGTGTCTAACTGTCTATCATGGCATGAAACACCAGTAAATAATGGATGGTTTTGAGTTTATCATAATGAGAAATGGATAAGAGTAATAACACTTTATAGTGGAGGAGAGGTCAGGAAACATATAATACTTTTTTTAAAAAGTACTGTGAAACTGTGGTTCTACAATTATTTAGTATGAAAACAAATAGAATTATAAAAATAGTGGTTTCAGAATATTTTGGTGCCCTCATTTGTATTTCTAAAGTACTATAAAATACTCAAGAAAAATTAAGCATATATTATGTATATTCAGTTTATCAAACAGGAAATGCAATGTGCAAGTTAGGAAGTGCTTTTATTGTAATTCTCAAAATTGTATTTTTAAATCAAGAAAGAAATCTTCACATTTAAATCCATAAGCTTTAGTTACATTAAAAATTCAGTCTCTGCATTATCATCCTTTCATTTATTCAAACACATTTTTTATTGAGCACTTACTCTGTGCCAAGCCATGTTCATGGTGATGGGGGTGTATCAGTTAAAAAAAAAAAAAAGTAGACCAAAATCTGTGCCCTCAAGCACCTTACATTCTTGAGGTGAGAGATAGAAACTAAAATTCAACAAATAGTAAGTGTATCAGATAATGGAGACATCATCCAGGGAGATAAATAAACCATGGAAGAAATACAGAGAGTTTTGAAGGAAAGGGGGGCTGAGCTTTAAGTAATCTATGTGCTTAAGCTCCACTGATAAGGTGGTATTTCTCCTGTGTCCAAAAATAAGTGAAAGCATGGACTGTTCGTGTATGAGCGACAGTGCCATAGCAGAAGGAATAGAAAAGCAAGGGCCTGGGGCCATGATAAAGTTTGGTGTATTTAAGGGGTAATAAGTACTAGAAGCGAGTGAGCAGAAACGAAACGAGCTCTATTGGAGTTCAAGGAGGCAGCAGACAAGATACCAGATCACTTACAGGATCTTTTAAGCCAGTGCACAAATATTAGTTTTTATTCTGAATGAGATGGAAAGCCATTGGAGGATTTGGAGCATTGGAGTGATAGCATCTGACTTCCATTTTCTAAGATCACTCTGGCAGATGTGATAGGAATAAACAGAAGAAAGCAAGGTAGAGAAAAGAAAAACAATGGACAGACTATAGAATAAAGAATCTAAGAGATGATGTAAATGTGGACCAGACATTGTTGCCAGGTCTGGCATTCATAGGGAATCGATTTTCCCTAAAGTTCATGGTCTTTTTCTTTTCATTTTTAGATGGGAAGCTATGTTATAGATAGTCTTGTCTATCTTTTACTCCCCTAAAATAACTAATTTCCCTATTTTTTTCTGTTCTTCACTGATGCAGAATGCTCACATAAACCTAAAGCATGTTCAGGTCTTCCTCGGCTATATATTCCTACAAGATAAAGTAATTTATATTTTACCCTGATTTACAAAAGAGGGTATAAACTTGTACTTATGCAACATGAATATGTTTTATACCTAATTTACGGCATAAGGACTATAGTCAACAATGTTCTATTACACTAGAAAGTTGCTAAGACAGCAGATTTGGATGCTCTCATCTCTCCCTGTCTCTCTCCTTCTCTCTCACACACATACACATATGCACACACAAAAGTAACCATTTTAGGTGATGAATATGTTGATTTGCTTAACTGTGGTAATCAGTTAACTATATATACCTATATCAAAACATCATGTTGTATACTTTAAATATATACAATTATAAAAATGAAAAAAACTATGCTTTTTCCTGGTGCATTTCAAATTTAGCTAGAGGGATAATCAAAGCTCTTCCTCACTCTTCAAGGATTGACAAAAATGCTATGGGCAGTGCAAGAAGTCACAGCTTGAGCAGTGCATCCTATAAAGATATTTGCATAAAGCATTTAAATTATAACATTTGAAAAACAGTATGTGCATTATTCCTCCTAGTTGCCTACTGACTGGAAAGCAACATTGTAGAATGGAACGTCACAGGCTTTGAAATCAAATCATGACCCAAACCCTTCTCTGCTGCTTACAATTTGTATAACCTTGGGCAAAGTACTTAATTTCTTTGAGTCTCAGCTTTCTTATCTGCAAAATAGAAGTTAACGTGTAGGTCAAATAAAATAAAACCTGTTAAACAAGTAGCACATTGTTGGTGTCTAAGTAAAGGTAGATATTGATGTTTACTTTGAAAATATTTGTATATTTAAATGACCTTTATATTGTTGTAAAAAAAAGTTTAAAAATAAAGCTTTCAATACTTAGTTGGCTTTGCAACTTTCAAAGGCATTTTGTAAAATATCCAGATTACTATTCACTTGAGTATTCACAACATAGAATCACTGATTAATCACAACATTGATTTTTTGGTGAGCTTGTAGTTTTGTAAGTCAATGACAAAAATTGAAAATCAATCTTTTACATTATTTTGTTCTAGGAATAGTCAGAATTCATAGATGTCTGCATATTAGGGATATTCTAAAATCATTTCAAGTAGGAGAACTGTAATAAAATATTTGCTTCAGTTGACAAATCACTTAAGTTAATTTTATCCTCTCCTGTGAGTTGGGAGAATAATGAGAAGTTAATGAATAAGTAATTTAGATTACAAAAAAAATCTTGGCAATAGTCTGTAAGGAACTTAACAGAAATGACATTTCACTAAGTAAATCTCTGATAGTGTGAGTGAAACAATAAATTTTACTAGGAAAACTAGAGGTTATTTTGTCAGTTATGAAACCTGACCATTAATATTTATTGAACTGGGTATATGGAATTTATGGATATTATCTACCAGATATAATGCATTATAAAGCCATCATTGTGGGATTTTTTGTAGAAAAAAAATTTATTCAAATGACATGCTAGTCACATTTCTGGTTTTGAGTAAGAATGCCATATATACATATATGCATTTATATATTTCATTTATACATAGAGAGGAAGAGAGAGAGAGACTGGAAATTTTTTTAAAAAATTAATTTGTTTCAAAGAAACAGGCTATCAGTAAGCTAACTTTTCTACACTTATGTTATTTTTATGACTATCACAGAATGCTAGAATAATTTGTATTATAAAATAGACTTAAAATTTCCTCTGATTTTGTAGATTCCTGCCTGTGGAAACTAAAATTGGCACTTATATTCAACAGAACAAGCTTACCAGAAGATTCATTTATTATTTCTGATATACTCTTACAGATATATACTTTTTTTTTTTTTTGAGACAGAGTTTAGCTCTTGTTGCCCAGGCTGGAGTGCAGTGGCACAATCTTGGCTCAGATATATACTTTTATACGAGCATTGCAAACCCAGACTATAGATTTCTGGCACTCAAAAATATGTCAAGCCATGGAAAGCTAATTGAAACCACTGAATATTTCAATAAATCAATCAGTCAGTATTGAGAATCAGCTGTGTGCTCAGCCCTGTGCAGTCAAGTGGACAGGGACATATCTTGGCAGAAGACAGACACACACAAAAGAAGGATTGTAAAGTCTAACTAACCCCACAAAAAGATGTTTTAAACCCTTACTCTTATAATATACATACAGCTTATGCATCAGTTTTTCACAATTATTTCTCATGCTTGTCTCTCAAACTTACAAAAATGAGGTCAGAGAGGCCTAGTTAGCAATCACACAGTTCTCTAGCAATCACACAGTCAGCCCTACAGGAGTCCATTTTTTTAACAAGAGAGAATTTTACAGGCTATAGAGAGTTATAAAATTTTAATTTTCATATGCAACATAATAACTCTTAAAGTTGCTTACTTTCTCTTATAAGATTGTCTTTCTCTGACCCAGTTCTGAGCCCCATTTTCCTCTGCTCTGGGTTGTGATCTCTAATAAATCTTTAGAGTAAAGCTGTTATTACAGTGTGAACTGATTGTTCTCTATTCAAATGATATCGTGTGTATACATGCACATGGAGTTTGAAGGGATTCAAATTACAGTGAATAATAAAAATCAATAACTTTAAAGTGAAAAAAATACAGGTTGAACATCTGTAATATGAAAATTCCAAACCCAAACAGTTCTAACATCTGGAACTTTTTGAATGATGACCTGATGACATAAGTGAAAAATTTAGCACCTGACTTCATGTGACAGGCAGAAGTCAAAACTCAGTCAAACCTTTTTGTCATGCTCAAAAAAACTTGAATATTATGTAAAATTATCTTCAGACTATGTGTATAAAGTCAGTGATTATGAAACATGAATGAATTTCATGTTGAAACTTGGGTTCCATCCACAAGATATTTCATGATATATATGCAAATATTTCACAAAAAAAAATGCAAAATCTGAAAACATTTATGGTCCCAAGCATTTTGGAATATGTATATTTAACCTGCAGTTTACATTTACTTATTTTTGACAGACAGTAGTAGTTCAACTCATGTGACACGTAAGAATTGATAGGCATTAAAAAGGTAAATAATTTAAGTGGAATCAACTTATAGCAGACATTGAACTCCACATATTTGCAATTTTTTCTTGTTATTTTATCATTACCATGGAGGTTATGGGAGTTTTAAGGTGTCAGTGACCCACATTACCTTTAATATGTCCCCTTTCAATAGGATATCCCAAAAGAAAATAAAAAGGAATTTTAAGAATGTTAAGATATAGTTGAGCAATGGTTTCAATGATGTCAAAAAGATTCAGGAGAACTACTATACAAAAAATAGAGAATCAGTAAGGAGAAATCTGCTGATGGCCTTTAATTAAGTTAGTGATTTAACTAATGTAACATTTGGTTAGAACAAGACCATCTAATATAGACAGAGTTAAATTTTTAATAATAATTTAGACTATTAGGAGGAGGCCATCAAATATTTGTCATTAAATTGTTGGAGTCTATTCAGTCATGGAACAAGTATTTACTGAACACTTGCTTTAGGCATATAACCATGCACTATAAAGCAAGCTTCCACTATCCATACAGAGCTTGCACTTTATTTAGTGAGAAAAACCGTAAAGAACTAAACAATAAAAATAGCTCAATGTTTTGGTAAGTAACCATTTGGTGAGGTGGAAAATGACAATGCACTGACAGTTCTCTGCTTTAAATAAAATCTGCACATATACACCATGGAATACTATGCAGCCATAAAAAATGATGAGTTCATGTCCTTTGTAGGGACATGGATGAAGCTGGAAACCATCATTCTCAGCAAACTATCACAAGGACAAAAAACCAAACATCACATGTTCTCACTCATAGGTGGGAACTGAACAATGAGAACACATGGACGCAGGAAGGGGAACATCACAAACCGGGGCCTGTTGTGGGGTGGGGGGAGGCGGGAGGGATAGCATTTGGAGATATACCTAATGTTAAATGACAAGTTTCTGGGTGCAGCACACCAACATGGCACATGTATACATATGTAACTAACCTGCACGTTGTGCACATGTAACCTAAAACTTAAAGTATAATAAAAAAAAAAGAGAGAAGCCATCCTTGTCAACTTGAGGTTAGAACTGATCTAAAGGAGAGAAAAGATAAAAAATAGAATAAGAGATAGAAAAGACAAAGAGAATAAATAAATGGAATCTGAAAAATACAAGGAAATGATCAACATAAGAGCAGGAAACCTCACAAATTAGACAGGGAATGACTACTGAAAGCCACTCGGGTAGCAAAGAGGATGGGATATCAAAGGAACATAAAGATCACTGCTCATGATAGTGTGGGAGGAGAGGGAAGAGATAGTGTTAGAGAGTTTTATTTCATAGCATAGAGTTTGATTTTAATTCTATCTCCAATAGAAACTGAGTGAAGTCTTTCAAGGAGGGAAAGGGTGTATAATTTAAGATTTTAAGAAAGGTGACCTGTATTGGATTAGAGAAAGTAAGAGTCAAAAGAAAGAAATGAATCATCCGGAAATATTTTTTTTCTCCACCCAGAGACTCAATAATGTAGCCAAGAATCATTCAGTAACAAGGTTCAGAAATAAGAAGCTGGAGGGTATTAATGCTTTCATTCATACAGATGAGCTCTCTTAATTTAGGAAATGTAGAACTAGAATTGATATTTCATAAATAGATATGATTTACAGCACAAGAAATTGTATATTCTCAAGTACTTTAACATATATTATCTTATGTTATAAACTGTGATGACTTTTAAAAGGAAAATAGCGATCTTTAGAAGTGAGAGTAAAGGTAAGATCTTAGAGATGAGAAGCAGCACACCATGGGAAAAGCAAGAAGAAGGAGGAATGTTATGTGCAATTAATCGGGTCAGGAAAGAGATTGGTATAATGAATGAATTGAAAGGATTTTGTGGGATGAAGTAAATTTGAAAGACAGCAGTGGCAGTTATTAATATTTTTAGATTATTAATCTAAAGATTTAAAAATTATATAACCTGTGCACATTTTTTATTTGTGTCTTGCATTTTTAGAATTATGTTCTAGATATCCTGAAAGCACCATACCACACTAATCCCTTCTTGCACAAATTGAGGAAAGATGTTCATAATCCACAATGCTTTATCCCAAGAAAGAACAATAGATTTTAAACCTATATTGCCAATATAGGAGTGCAACTGACATGTGTCCCAGAAATTGTACCTGGGAAAACTCAAAAATTTTACTCTACCACCATTCTAGCCTCAATTCCTCTGAAGATTAACTCAATTCTATTGTCTTTTGTTCATCTAGTATTACATCTTTAACTTACAATTTAAACTTCCTAAATGCAAAGTTTTCTAACACTAAAGCATTAGTAGTCCATTTTGTCTTACGATTTAACTTGAGAGTTATACAGCTCTAAATAAAATGTTATTGTAAATACTTATAAATCCTTGAAAATTAACTGAATAAAACATGCAATGTCATTCATTATCTCCTGTCCTTCTTAGAGAGAGATCTACATCAAAATTATCTCAAAGAGAAGATTCATAAAACAAATGTGTACGGCTGAGAAATAAATAAACTGAAACTCTCCATGAGTCAAAATGACATTTCTTCTAATGTTTATAAAAGAAACATAAATATTTGTACATTTTTATGAAACTATGGTATGTATATTTGAGGATTCTTTCAAAACAGTTTATGTAAAACGTAATAGAATTCAACAAGTCCAAAGATAAGAAATTGAAATAAGGAAGGGTTCAAGGAAATGACTCAAAGGGAGAGATACAAAGATAGGCATTTGATCTTGGTTAAATGAGAGGAATATTATAAAAATCTACCAAAATCTGAAAATGATACAGATAGATCTTACTCTGAAAGCAACCAGACCTGGATTTTAATTCCAGCTCTAGAACTTACTAACTTGTGTAAACTTGAAATAATTCCAAATTCTCTTAGAGACTTTGTTTTCTAATTTGTAAAACTGAAATTATAATACTTCACAAGCTTTTGTGGAAAAATAAATTAAATATATATTTTATCATAAGGTTCAACATATAGAAGTTACTGAGCAAATATTAATCTAGGTCTTCCTATATCCTGTCTCTAAATCGAAATTCTCCATGATAAATACATTATTAAGTAATAAGTAAATTGCAAAACTCTTAGATTTTGCCAGATACTATAGATAGAAAATATTACTGAAGTTTAAATATTGAAATAATTTACTGATGCCCATAAGTTGTAACTAATTGAAGTTGATGTCAAGGAATAATTGTGCATCTTAACAATAAACTCTTTAATGGCAATTTTAGATTATTACATTGATTAACTAATAGTAAAGTACAGCAAGATTTATGTTGTCAAAATCTTTGGCCATCATCTCTAGTCACTAGAGTGAATATTGAGAGTAAATGTGAAGAATGTTCAAAGTTGTATTTACTATTGAAGGTATTACCTATTTTTAGTGTGAACACCCCTATGTTCCTACGACATAGCCTAGGTGTAAAGGTCACCTTGTGAAGGCAGTGGACAGTTGGTGAAGGCTTGTACCACTGTAACTCTGCTAAACTTAGAAAAGATCTGAAAATACTACTGATAGGTAAGATCCTATATTCTGTCCACAAAAATCAAATGAGAACTATTTGGGTAAGGGAAAAAAATCCCAAATATATTATGTTAAGCCAATAACAATTCACCATTAAGTAATGAAAAATACATATCAAAAAGAGAAGTCTAGGAAGAAAGGAGTTATTTGTACACAGAAAATTCTCATAATAAATATTTAACTTAGTGCCTGAGGTTGTCACCAAGGATCTCACTTTTTGAATTATTGTATTTATTTAAGATCAGAATATATAAAGAATATATAACATTGGTGTTATTTGTAATTTACAGTTCAATCGCTAAAATGTCATTTCAGAGTATGTTAAATTTAAGGTGTAGGCTTTTTGAAAATAAGATTTTCCTTGATGAAATACAAACAGGATTGAATTTATTTTGTTAATTTAATTTGTACATAATAGATTTAGAGACACGACATTAAATCTAGTGAAAAGCATTTGTTATTAAATTTCACATGCCATTTTTCTTTATATTATTTCCTTAGCATTTAAAGAAAGTATAAAGAACATACAGTCCTGTATTATTTTTTGCCTTTGTGTATTAGCAAGTAACCATCATTTCCCAAGCAAATATTGGTGGGCGGTCTCAGCTCTTTCCTTCCCAAAACATTAAATAATTAATAATGTCACCTGCTTCACACTTTTGTGAAACCTATTCTAGATGCTTTATAGCACTTACATCCTTGTGGGAAAAGATACACAAGCAAATATATAAGTAAATAATGTCACGAGGTTGTGTGCAGAAAAATGAAGCAACCAAATAAATAGAGAATGCTGAGTGGAGCTGCAACAGCTACATTAGATACTATGGTTAGAGAAAGCCTCTCTGATAAGATGACAATCAAGAAAAAGCCTGAATAAATAGGTAGGAGGGTGGACGGGAGTTTAGCAGTTACCAACAGGCATGAGGGAAGCAATTGAAAAGACTTTAGCCATGTGTTTGGTACCTTAGAAAAACAATAAAAGGGAGGGAAAGTAATTAAATGAATGACTCAGTTAACTGTGAACTCTAGTGATAGAAGATCTCAGTAGCACTCAATCCCCTTGTTTTTTGTTTGTTTGGTTGTTGTTATTGTTTTTTTTCCCCGGAAATCTGGTTTTCCCCAAGCCTCGCCAATCAATTCACTATTTTTTTCAACCACTAATTACTGAAGATATATCGTTGTCATCTCCTTTGTACACTAATAGTCTAGCTTTGAAATACAGATATATAATTGCTTGCATAGCCAATCTTCTATTTAATTACCTTTAAAGGATTTTTAATTTCTTCTTTATTCTCTTTCATTTAATGTTATTCTACAATGTGTGTAATTTGAGGGTTTTTTTTTTTTTGGCTTGCATTCATTCTAATTTAACTCAATGGGCTGTGCTGAAGTTCTTAGTGGTTGTGTTTGGTTTCAGCTCTTTTTAAAAACCGCATATATTTTACTCCCTCCTCTTCGAATATCAATTACACGAAGTTGTAAATTATGGAGGTTTCATTCACCACTGAATTTTTAGGGTATACCTATCAATTACCCTAATTTTTAAAAATCTTTTCTGTAACTCATTATCTTTGTATCCTCTGCTATTTCTCAATATAAACTATATGCAAAATACAGACAATGGTATTATGAGGTCTTATGTACCCTTCATCCAAACTTTATTTTCTTTTTATGGACAATCTTCTTAAATTTCTACTTCTATCCACATCACCCAACTACTTGTCAATATATTTTGAAGAAAATCCCAGAAGGTACGTCATTTTAGATACAAACATATTTATGTGCATCCAATGAATAAGAGATCTTTTCCTTACGAGGTAAACGCCATACCATAATCAGACAAAAATTACAATAATTTCATAACATCATCAAGTATTCAATGGGTACTCAAATTTCCCTATCTGATATTTCTCCAGGTTTGTTTGTTCGAATTGACACTCACATAGGATATCTACCTATTGAGTTTTTGTTGATGCCCATATTTTAAATTCCTAAAACCACTATTTTACACATGAACTGGAATACTTGTTTTTCCTTGGGTGAGCTTTTGTTTTCTTTTAGGTAGTGGTGAGTTTTCTGAAATGTTTGATGATGTTTGGTTGCCTCCTCATCTTTGTTCTGAGAATTTCTGCTTGCATCTCTATCAATCAGTTGCAGATATTGATGCCAGGGATGTTTCACTGATGCACAGTCAGCTGGTCTGTGCTGGCTTCTGAATGTCAGGTCTCCACATTCCTCCTAGACTTTACATATAACCGAGAATACCTGCTCTGCTTCTCTTACTCCCAAACCCCACCACCGGGGGTTGTGGGAGGAGGGCAGAGGGACAGGGGTACAAATATGCCTGTTTACTTTAGCTAAAGACAAGCGGTGTGATGCAAAGGAGAAGGGGCCAAATCATCTGGTGCTACTAACGCAGGCTCGCAATTGCCATCCTGACTATTACAAGAAGGACCTTCCTGGTTTTATTTTATCTTTAGAATCTGTGCTTGTAGCATGCTTAGGAGTGTCCCCAATTCCGCAATTATATATTTGTACAAGTGTTAACATCTGACTTTCTCTGGCCATTGTAAGCTCATCATCTTTTTACTTTTTCAATATTTCCAAAAGTTTATTTCCTGTCCATGATACACTGCAAGCAAAGTAATAGATATGTATACATAAATACAAAGATACAAGTTTCATAAATAGATACATGGACAGCTAATGTTCCCTCACTTTCTCATGGTACAAAAAAAGCTAAACATATATATTTCCTCTAATACCAAGGAATTCATGGTAGGATATGAGGTGGGTAAGGTGCTTAATCTGACTGATAGATTCAATACATGGCCTATTTATTTCTAACTATAAATTAGGCTAAGTTGTGCTCTCTCTTTCTCCATACAGGTAGATGAATAGATATAGACATATGAGTAAACCATATATCTCTCTATACCTATCTATCTGTGTATATATTATATACATAAATAGATCGATGTAAACTATTTCTATCTATCTAGACATATTATATATATATATATGAAATCTTACATGGGCAGGTAGATAGATATATCTATAGGCAGATAGCTATGTCTCGGTAGATAGATGTATTACAGTTTAGATAGATATGTACAGTTTACACATCTATAAATAGACATCTATAAATAGACATAAATGGATATCTAGATCTACAGATTTCTATACATATCTAGATCTATATCTACAAATAGATAAAGATAACCTTATATCTGTATATCCGTATCTATATATCAACAGATACAGAGTTTACACATTTATAGAGTTTTCTATAGATAACTCTGTATCTGTAACCTCTGTATCTGTATATCTATATGTACCTATCTATATATACACTATATATCTATCTATAGATACATATATCAACTATAATATGTTTTGGATTTATATACAGTTTTGTATTATGAATCTTAAGCTCTGTCACTCTATCTCTCTGTCTCTTTCTCTATGTCTTTATCTATTTCCATCTCAGAGAGACAGAGACAGAAAGAAAGTTTAAAATCAAAAACTGTAAATAAATTCAAATTGGATAATAGCTCAATAATTTATCTCATTTTTATGTCACTTAATTCTTTCTATTATTTGGATATGCATCAATCCTTAAAATAGCTATGACCTAATGAGATGGAAATTGCTCAAGGTAGGAGATCTAGATCCTATTAACTTTGTGATTTTAGTAAGAGTATTGCTAGCTGTTCTTTAATAATGAGGTTAAAACTAAACTTTTAATATGAAGATTTCTAAGCATAATAAAATGTTGTTATCCTTGAGAATTAGATATCATCGAAAGAATATTAAGAATTATGCACATAATTAATTGAAATAAATTAACTTAGTGTTCTAAAAATAAACTAACATAGAGAGGTATATATGTAAATGTTAAGATATATGACCATGATTTCTATAATCATGTATTTCATAAAAATAGAATTTCAAAGACATTGAGAATATTGACTTTAGAAACCAGATTGAAGAAAAAAGCCATGATGCTACCTGCCCACAACACGTACTTTCACCAGATATCTGGAGGCCTGACATATGAAAACAAACATTTTTTTTTTTCTTTGCCTCATAGAGCATAGTGAAAATTTTGTGGGTGTAGTTAGAGAGTACAAACATCAAATCATTAATCATGTTATTAAAAAGCAATACTGTCTAATAAAAATTAAGCAGTGCATTTCAGTTTTCAGAATTATCCAAGCAGAGGCTAACTTATTCAAGCAGAGGCTAAACAGATGACAATTTATTCACCTGTTTACTTAATTGTAGATAGAATTCATGATTTAAGAGAATGCGTGATAAATGAGTGAGCGAGTTTTCACTAACACTCCTTCCTGCTTTAAGGTACTTTCATTTTATGTTGTTATATAATGAACAATGTTGTTACATATTTATTTTACTATTTTATTAAATTATATATAATTCATATAATTACATATGAATTTTACTAGGGATAGGTTAGTATGAAAAACAGTTTATAGAAGGTTTACATTAATTGAAAAATAACCTTTTGTCATACTTTTGTTTATTTCGCCTTACAAGCTTAGGCATTTAAAACTTGATTTACCTGAAAGTTGTTTCTTACATTACAGACATCCACTAATGGCTTTATTGCCTGTCTAATGGTCATTAAGTGAAAATGGGCATCTAGAATAACACAGCTGGGGTCCACTTTACCAAGATTCTTTTTAACACAGTTGGATATCTACATGATGTTCATACCCACTGTTCTTTCTGAACATTAGTGCCCCATAACTGTCTTTTACAATGTAATTCATTTTCTTTCTTCACTTAACTCTGTTGAAGGAATCAAAAGGCTGAACCCGTAGTTGTACTAAGAAGGGGAGGGCAAATGGTCTTGAAGAGTAGAAACACCTTACTTTAGAGGTAGCATTAAGATGAGCTTCTATTGACTTGAGCTTAAAAATTAAAAAAAAAAAAATTACAATCTCAGTAGTGCATTTCAAAGGCTCAGAATTATTGATTCAGACATAAACCCATGTTTAAAAATGCTAACACATATGCAGTGTAACTAGTTTTACCAACTGGTATACTGTTTCCCATAATGCAAAATTTACTCTTGTGTTTATTTTTTTTGTATACTAAAATATTGAGATTCTTCCCCGCAGTGTCCTGAAGCCCTCAATGTTCGTATATCTCTTTAAGGTATCTTATGTGTATGAAATATGGCTCTAAAATGCTAGATTTGGCCAACAACAACAACAACAAAATCCCCCCACCTTTTTTTTTTTTTGAGACAGAGTTTTTCTTTTGCTCTTGTTGCCCACACTGGAGTGCAGTGGCGCAATCCCAGCTCACTGCAACCTCCACCTCCCAGGTTCAAGCGATTCTCCTGCCTCAGCCTCCCAAGTAGCTGGGATTACAGGCATGCACCACCACGCCCAGCTAATTTTTTGTATTTAGTAGAGACAGGGTTTCACCATGTTGGTCAGGCTGGTCACAAACTCCTGACCTCAGACGATCCACCTGCCTCGGCCTCCCAAAGTGCTGGGAGTACAGGCGTGAGCCACCATGCCGGGCCCACAAAAATCAATTTTTAGAGCTGTTCAGTTCATTATGTTTAGAAGAACAGATAAATTGTATACAACAATAATATAGCTATATGTTATAGTTATTGTGTTTTTCAACAAAATAGTTTATTTGAAGGATTGGTATGTTGTTAACAGATTTCTTAAATATAATCATACTTGGATTATGAACTGTCAGATTAAAAATAATATTAGTGCTTGTATTTTTCTGTGTGTGTGTGTGTGTGTGTGTGTGTGTTATGTTTTCACTAATCGAAGAAGCTTGCTGGTATTTCTTTCTTGGTCCTTGGATACACTCAGGCTTTCTTTCTAATACAACTCCCTCTATGCAGATATACTCAAGATGAGTCCTCCCTATCTTGTGTTTAATACAAGGTCATGTAATGCAATATATTTAGTTAATTATACCTAACTTTTAAAAAGTCCTTTACGTGAACCTATAATTATATGTATTTTTATATGTTACTATGTTCTAAAGGTGTTTGATGTTTAAAGTTCATTTAGAAATGTTCTTATAAGTAGAATTACTTCAACCATCTGTACAGACTAGCAAAATATTATTCTAAGTGTCTCCTTATGTTTTAACCTGAACTCTCTCTCTGCTTTAATTGCAATAGCTATGGCAACCACCCCATCAATGACAAAAATCCTAGAAGGATGTATGTATAGGAAGTTGAAGTGTTGAGAAGAGAATGGCTCAGAGTCAAGCGGGAACAAGGTAAAAACATCAAAAGGTTGTACTGGTGATAATGGCCAGGTGTGTGCCATTAGTGCCTCCTTGATATTAAAAAAATATATGGTGGATCAACTACATGTTAGTCAATTCCAGCCTAGCAATCAAGAGGATATTGAAAGGGAACTTTTCAACAAGATAGCAAATAAGTTAAGTGCATGGACCATGGACTTTCTCTCCAATCTACTTGATATCTAAGCTTCACTAAGTATCCAGATGCCATCTTGTGATGAAAGAAAATGCCATTCTTAGTAAGAGGAAAGACATAATTACACCACATATGTTGCGATACACTAAACACATTTCTTTTTTTATTACATGTAAATTTAATTTCTCCTACCTTTTCCAGCTTTGAATCATTAAATCCTGTGTAGGTCAGATGCAGTTAAAAACAAATAGGTCTTTACTCAACCATGACTTTAAAATTAAGGATTAATGTGTATATATGGAAAAATGTTTATCTTTAAATTCACGTTTTGTAGAAATGAGCACACGCTTACTAATAACAAAAGTTCATATTAACATACTAAGAAGGCTTGAAGAATATAAAATACATTTGGAGAGACTAAAATGTAAACTTTATTGTGATAAGCCTATTGCAGGAAGAATGCGTGATACAGATATGCATAATGTGATGTAGGGGAAGTATTTTAAAACAAAAAGAAACAACTTTTGAGATACCAATGGTGGGTGTGAGTTGTGGGAGAGATGGGTAAGTAATGCAGAGCAACAAAAATGTCTAGGAATGCACAAGTAAGCATGCTGGTTTCCATTTCAGATTCAAACTTCAGAGAGAGAGGGAAGAAAAACATTTAAATATATCTGGCATAATCCAAGACTATTTACGACAAGTGTTCTGTGTTTCTAATAATAAAACAGACTTCACCTCGGAGTACCTGCAGAACTGGGACCCCAATGACCAGGGAGAATGAAGAACAACTTGTTGAAGGTATAGAGAAGGCAGCAAATCATACAAGAAGGTCCATCCCAAACCAGAGATAGTATAGATAAATCTCTCATGTTAACTATGGAAAAAATAAAGGAAGATGACGTATTTTAATAGAAGGGAAATTGCGCTTATTGGGAGTAAGAACACTGAATTGACTGAATATCTTAAAGAGAGTTAGGAAGTGAAATTCTCAACAGGTGATTATTCTTTGACCAATTTTGTCTTATCTCTTATCCACATTCTTCCCTGCTCTTCCCAATACATGTGTAAGAATATCCAAGGGCACACACATACCATAAGCAGGAATGGTGTCCTAAGGAAAGTCAATATAGAGAGTAAGAAGTATATCTGTCACAATGTGTACATGTATACATCCTAAATATTTGTACAATTAATTTACTTCTCTTCATTTCCAACACTCCTAGTCTATGCTATGAACATCTCTTACCTAAAATGCTACAGATGTCCCCTAAATTTTTCCATAAATCAGTTTTTTCCTCTCCAAGCTGTAAGCAGAAATGCATTTTTAAATTGCATATATGACCGTGACACGTATCTGTCTCAGTTTATAGAACAGGTCTCTAACAGGGCCAGCAGCTTCCAGTCACTTCTGTCCCTTACCTTTTCTCCAGTCTCATTTTACATATTTTTTTACATGCTCTCTATATTCCTGTAATTAAATATTACTTTCCCCTCAATGCCTTTGGACTGCTTCTTTCCTCCACATTAAATACTTTTTACCACTTCCCTCAGTTCAGTTCATTCTCCTCCGTGTTTAGAGCTCAGCTCAGATATCCTTTTCTCATGGAGACATTCTCTGGCCAACCCAGACTAGATCATTTTCCCTTGCTGTATACTTTCATACCTCCCTCTGTCTTTCCTTCATAACACTTTGGTAAGTGTGTACAACTGCATCCTTGTTTTTATTTAATTTCCTCTCACTGCCATGTTCTGTAAACTCAATGCAAGCTGAGTCTGCCTATTTATTTCACTATGCGACACCTAACTCCTAACAAAGTATTAAACAAAATAGGTGCCAAAATATCTGTTAAGCCATTGTGTGAATGTATAAATGAATAAAGATATGAATACAGATACACTAGTCTAAACACGTTTGCATGGCACATACCTATATGTGTTCCAAATAGATAACAAGGAGAATCACAATTGATCATTGCCAGAAGAAAAATCTGGTAAAACTTTTACTTTCCAGATATTTAAATAGCATTCATGTTAAAATTTTTAGTTCACTTTTATAATGCATTGAAAATACTTAGGGACATTATTTACTTATCAGAAGTTTATTTTACTCTTTGAAAATATATTGCTTACTGGACTATTCACAATAGCAAAGACATGGAATCAACCTAAGTGTCCTTCAGTGGGGGGACTAAATAAAGAAAATGTGGCATATATATACCATGGAATACTACACAGCCATAAAAAAACAAAATTATGATTTTTTTTTTTTTTTTGGCAGCAACATAGATGCAGCTGGAGGCCATTATCCTAAGTGAAATAATGCAGGAACAGAAAACCAAATACTGCTTATAAGGGAGAGCTAAACATTACTCATAGAAATAAAGATGGCAACAATAGACATTGGAGACTACTAGATGGGGAAGGGATGGATTAAAAGGGCTGAAAAACTAACTCTTGGGTACTACGCTCACCTCCTGGGTTACAGAATCATTCTTATCCTAAACCTTAGCATACACAATATACCCAGGTAAGAAACTTGCACATGTACCCCCAAATCTAAAATAAAAGTTGAAAATTAAAAATATATGCATATTGCTCATTGAGATAGACTACATATTGAGAGATTAGCTCTATGAAGATAACATGAACCCTAAATTGTGTGATTGAGAGAATTCTACACATTTATTGGCCTTCATTTTAGATAACATGTTAAATAATTCAATAATGAACATTTGACTGTGCAACCTCTTCATATAAATGTGCATATTAGTCAAGGGGCTGTATTATTAGCTTAACAACTAAAGTCTATTTTTTTTTTTGCATGTGCAAAGTCCAATGTAGAGGTGTCTGGAAGATCTTTCCTAAATGTGACTCTGTCACCTAAGTGGATTGCATTGTCATGGAAGCCACTATTTCAAGCTGTAGCCTCTAAAATCTCTACAGCCAGGGTTGGGACTAATATTCAACCCTTAAACTATCATTGCATTGATCAGTAATCAATCACCTAGTTATGCCTCACTTCGATAGAGCTAGGAGAGGCAGTTTATGGCTGTATCAGAAATAGGATGAAGGTGCCTGGGCATGGAGGCTCACGCCTGTAATCCTAGCACTTTGTGGGGCTGAGGCAGAAGGATTGCCTGAAGCCAGGATTTCGAGAGCAGCCTTGGTAACATGGTGAGACCTTGTGTCTACAAAAAGTAAAAATAATAAAATTTAAAAAATACCCAGATGTGATGGTGTGCGCCTGTAGTCCTAGCTACTTGAGAAGCTGAAGTGGGAAGATTTCTTGAACCTAGGAGTTCAAAGCTGCAGTGAGCTATGACCATGCCCCTTAAACAGTGAAACAGTGAAAAAAATAGCATAAAGGAATATGTACTGTAATATTTAAGTATTGGATTTTTAGTAATGAAAAGTTTCTAATGGTTAACTGTGTTTCCCCACAAAGATACGTTTAATTCCTAATGCCATGTACCTGTGAATGTAACAATATTTGGAAATTAGGTCTTTGCAGATATAATTATTTAAGATGAGGTCCTAATAATTTGTGGTAGGTCCCAATTCCATATGACTGCTATTCTTATAAGATGAGAAAACAGAAACACAGAAAAAAGGCTTGAAAAAATACAGACATAGAAAGGCAGAGACTGGAGTTGGGCTGCTACAGCCAAGGAATGCTTGGGGCTCCCAGCCGTTGGGAGAGTCAGGGAGATGCTCCCCTACAGGATTAGAAAATATATGGTCCTGCTCACATATTCATTCTGGACTTGTAGCCTCCACAACTACAACTATGAGACAACAGATTTATGTTGTTTTAAGCCACC
This sequence comes from Homo sapiens, assembly GCF_000001405.40. Taxonomy (NCBI): domain Eukaryota; kingdom Metazoa; phylum Chordata; class Mammalia; order Primates; family Hominidae; genus Homo; species Homo sapiens. The sequence goes on from NC_000013.11 coordinate 70,133,872, forward strand.
CACTTTCTGGTACTGTGTTACGGCAGTCCTCTAAGATGAGAACAATATAGAAAGTCAGTCATATCCTTCCAGAAATTAACAAGCTGGAATCACATTTTATTCATTGGCCTAGTAAATTCCTTTGCCATTCTCAGTATTTCTAGAAAAATATCGGGTTGTTGTGTTTTATTTTTATTTTTTATTTTTTGTCTGATAATGAAAAGGATAAAAAATCAGCTAAATAACAGGATTTTTGTCATTTGAGGATATCACTTACTAACAAGAGCTTACATATTTGAATGGACCAACAGGTAAATAACAGGTACCTGTAGGCCATCCGTATTGTCAAACTAAGTGTAAATTACAAAACATAGAAGACATACTTAGGATTCAAACAATAAAGATTCAGAGAAGAGCAATTGCAATCTCTCTCCTATGCACAGAAAACTGAGTGAAGCATTTTATATTTTAATTTGTGTTTAGTGGTGATGACAAGCTCATCAAAGAATGGAACATTGATGCCTCAGCATTATAGGAGACATAATCTTCATAGCCCTAAATGCTGCACAGGCAGGTACAGAATTGGGCGCATGTCTCATGGTGGCCAGCAGCTTGCCTTCATAGAAAGGATGCTCGTTGAGCAGAACTCCATGCACTGGTTACCATGCCAGGGAAGGACTCCAACTACATGGAGGATAGCAAAGCTCATCCCAAAGCCAGCCGACAGGAAGAGAAATCTAAACATGTCTACTCAGTGCAACTTCCTATGGCAATTGCCAAGGAAAACATGATAGAGGCAAGCACTGGATTCAACAATGTGTTTCCTGAATAGAAAAGAGACAGAGCTAGATTAGCTACAGTGGCGTGCCTCAGTCCACCATGGCTAGTGGCTGCCCTTGGAAATCAACACAGGGCAACTGGCTTACATGTACCAGAATAGAAGGACTGCAATCTGTCCCCTATGAAGTCTGAAGTACCAAAATCTGAGGGCATATCTGAGGGCCACTGACACACATGCTTGGCCTGGATAAAGGAGGAGCACACCTTGAGTCTGAAACGGGAAAAGATATCCCCACACGAGGTGATAAGCCCAGCACAGGCTGTGTGGACTCTTGTTCTCTTGGGATGGAAGTGTTTCAGGCCCAGTGCCCATTCCTATTCTTATGTGGCTGAGCAGAAATCAAAGACTGCAAGGACGAGACTACCTAGCCCAACAATCATAAACTTCAGTTCTGAACAGAGGCTGCAAGTCCACCCAATCCACTTTTCCTCAATTTCCTTTTCTTTGCCTGACTTTTTCTTTATTATCATTTTGAGTATTCCAGAAACCCATTATAAGTCATTACTTCACTGCAGTCACAAGGTCCCTAAGGGAAGAACTTGCCCCTCCTTTTTTGGGCCCCTATGTGACACGTCAGATCTTTAGTTCAGGTTTGTCAATACTATTTCTCCACTTCTTTTATAAGCTATTAATTCAGTTTCCATGACACCAAACTCCTTATCCTATTTCATTGACCACATGGTTACTGTTCTCATTAATTATTGTGTCTTTTACTTAATGGCTCTCTCTCTCTCTCTCTTTAATTTTATCTTCTCACTCTACACTCCCTTTTTTGATAAACTGTCTATTCCTATGGTATACTTGGCCATCGTAATTGTGGTAATGTCCAGATTTCTATTTCTCATATCACCTTCTTCCTTGAGTATGGACTCATGATTCTGCTTCCTACTGGGAAGTTCTGACAACATCTATAATTTACATGGGTCCATATTGAACTTTTTTTCTTACATTCCTTTCCCTTAATAACAGCACTTCTTATCTGCACTACTATGTACAAATTTCATGATAGGAAATCCAAGGCAGAATTATCTTGGTGACACTCATGGGTGTACCACTATTAAGATTCTTCTGTCACTCATTTTTTGATCATGAATTTATAGTGACTAACCAGATATATAGTACATGACATAAAATTGAATCAATTATCTAAAAAACAAAACAAAACTACCAGTGGTAAATGGATGATTTTCAAATATGGCATTTCAGGCTGTTATAAGAAAACTTTTACACAAATTAAATTAATGATATTTATCTGAGCAAGAACAATTGATAAATTAGGCCGCACTCTAAAACAGAACAGATGCAGAGAGTTCTGCTGAACAGTGTGAGCAGTGGGTTTTTAGAGGCCAAACACAGAAGCAAATTAGAAAATCCTCTGATTGGCTACAGGTAGGTGTCTGACTTATTTGTTGGTGCAAAGAGGCATTTCTTTTGCGGGGGCAAGTCTGATCAGTTGTTTGCCTGTGATTGGCTGAAGCTCAGTTGTATGTAATTGGTAGAAATCTGGCTATTTGTTATGAAATAATATTCTCCTAAGTTAGATTTTGGTTTATGTACTAATTTAGGTTGCAGTTCGTTATATAGCAACTCAAAGTACAGGGATAGCCTCAGACATTAACTGAGGTCTCCTATTTTTTAATTTAATAATACAAGAACAGTCTTCCAAGATCCAAATACACATTTTAAAATTCTGTACATCTATAACTTCACCACATCATATCCAAATTGTATCCTACTTTTTTGCCTTTTATATTAATATTTATAATAAAATTTGTATAATATTAAGTATAATTATTTCATTTAATAGTATTCACTTAATGGTACTCATGCCACTCATTTGCCCAAGCTAAATCTTACAGTCTTTCCAGTTCTTACAATTTTAAAAATCTCCTCGTATTCAGGAAATCATCAAGACCGCTAGCAGGAGAACTCCCTTACAGACCTAGACCTCCCACCTCTAGACTCATACATGAGAGAGAGAGAAAGTTTTGCTTTTCTCAAGACACAGTTCTTTTGAGTGCTTCTTTTACTTTCAGCCAAACTTAGTTCCATTTAATAGGTTTTAATATATACTTAAACAAATTATTATAGTAAAAGTAATGAAGTAAAATTATTTCAACTTACAACAATATAAAATAAACGTTTCGTAGGGAAATGAACAGAACTACTTAAAACTTCAGAACACAAGGCTATTTTACTAGATTTTGTTCAGTTTAATAGAAGCGTGTTCCACATCACAGACAAGATTCCAGTGTTTAGTTGCGATACTGGCCAGAAGGAGGATCCCTTCTGAGATGTGATCACTGTCAAGAAAGACTTAACACATGAGAGAGATCTGCAATTCCATTGCCAATCATTCAAAGTTCCTTGAAGATCAACAATTTCATCGAGAAAGACTTGTTCTTTGAAATTTAGAATATCCAGAACTTTTCTTACATAATAGCCTATAAACTTCAGTATAAAACAATAATCATTAATAGTCACTGGTTTATTTCTTTAAAAATCTTGTCAAACAATTTTAAAATTCAGCGGAATCGCTCCTTAATGCAATTAAGATGTTTAGCAGCTTTAAGTAGTTATCTTAACATTTCTGTATCTCCAGGGTCAAAGTGTCATATTCATGGCTAGATTTTGTAGCAAAAGCAGCAGTTTATCTATGTGAAACACCTCTTATTGGTTCAGCTTATCTCAATATGTTATTTCTATGCCATGGTGATATTTGCTATGAAAGCACTGATATATTTTAGAAGATATTCTCCATTCATATGGGTCCTTCTAGTTTGGCAGAGCTAAATGGACTTCGTTATTTATATTTCATCTGACAAAATGGAAAAGTTTAGGTGAACTGACATGACCAGATTTTGTTTGTAGTACACTATTTTGATTTGAATTATTATAGATAATTTACATTTCTAAATGCATCTCTAATTCCAAAATGAAGAACTACTGTACTTCAGCAATGATACTGTTTTTCTGGCTCCAGATCATTTTAAAGCAGGTTTAATAAGGACCCTGAGAATTATCTCAACTGTGATAACTGCTGTGATATTTGCAATAAAATGTTATAAAATAACTACTTAATACTTACTGTATTAGTCAATTCTTACATGGCTATAAAGAACAACCTGAGACTGGATAATTTATGAAAAAAAGAGGTTTAATTGACTCACAGTTCCATGGTCTGTACAGGAAGCATGGCTGGTAAGCCTCAGGAAACTTACAAACAAGACAGAAAGTGAAGGGGAAGAAAGCACATTTTACCATGGTGGAGCAGGGGATAGAGAGAGCAAAGGGGGAAGTGCTACACACTTTTAAATGACCAGACCTTGAGAGAACTTATTATCACGAGAACAACATGGCGGAAATCCGCCCACGTGATCCAATCACTTTCCACCAAATCCCTCCTCCAACATTGGGGCTTACAATTCAACATGAGATTTGGGTGCCGACACAGAGCCAGACCATATCGCTTGCAATGTTTCCCCCTGTTGTGCTACATTTTGTTTATCAGGACTATTGCAATTTTAGACTTGGCTTTAACAATACATTAAATTTAATTCAGTTACTTGTACCTTCAAGAGATTTTTCAGGCTGGATAGCTCTGATCCTGAAGATGAGACCAGATTTAAATTAAAAAAAAAAAAAGTTAACTTTCATTACCAAGCTGCGAAAATCTAAATTTTAAATGTTAATTTTTTATCAAATTTGTTAATTTTATTTCATTTAAAGCTGAAAATTTTAAAATGCAAAAAATAGGTTCTATTGTCATTGTGTTTTGATCTGGGTTTTATAAACCTATCTCATTATATTTATTCATTCAGAAAATATTTATTGAGTGTCTCAGTTCTAGGTGCTATAGATTTATTAATAAACTCAACAGACACAAATATTTGGCAGTTTTGTTCACAGTCACCAATAATATTCATCATTTCAATATTTAGCTGTTAAAAAAATTAATCACTAATATAGTATGCATTCCAAAATGAAAGAGGAGAGAGGAAGGGAACATAACTAAATACCAATCTATACTTTCTATATTTATACAAATTCCATACACTAAACAATTATTAGTAATTAGAGGTAACATTTTAACCTTTAATTTAAAATAATGTAAAAATTCATAATGAAGTCTAGTACACGATAATTCTCATTAATAATTTAAATAATTTATACCAAGTAGTTATAGTGGTTGATTCAATGAAAGACTTATTGGAATTCATGCCTATAATTTATAAGATCTGCCACCCTACCAGCCTTACTGTTTTTCTCATTGGTAATATTCATGAAGTCACTGGTAATTTTACATTTTAAAATATGCAGTATGAATTGCATATATAGTACTTCTTAAATGTCAACACATTTATCTTAAATCATTTATCGAAGTATGAGAAGTACCTATCATATTTTGGTAAATAATACCTTTAGGTTTTTCCTAGTTCTTGGCTCCAGACTAACCATCTTGACCTGTCATTCTAGTTTTTACTTCTGAGACATTCTATAGTCTGTGTCTGATATTCTCTACTATTTCCTCATTTGTCCTTGCATTCAGATTGCCTTTTCTGACTCCCAGCTTCCACGGAGAGATTAACTCTGTTGGCTGAAGCCCTATTCCCAATTCCTTGGCTAGACCCTGGGTCCTTCATGTTAGAAAACCTGGCTTTACTACTACTACTACTACTACTACTACTACTACTGCTGCTGCTGCTGCTGCTGCTGCTGCTGCTGCTGCTGCTGCTGCATTTTTTAAAAATATATTATCTTATTTTACTATTTGATGTTATAATTGTTATATATTTTTCCACACTTCCTCATACTGCTTATCTCTTACTTAAGAATTTATGAATAAAGAATTGATTTTTCAATACATCCTTCCAAAAATTATCTGATGTTGAGTTAGTTGCTCTCTCTTGTGCATTCTCAGTCCTCACAAGCCTTTCTCAAACACAATGTTTATCAAAGAAAATTGTAGCAACCAATATACTTAGTGGAATTTCTCACAGAGTTTGAGTGTAGGAAACAGTATTCACTGTATATTAGTCATTTTGCTCCCAATAGAAGGTGCATAACATAAATTATTTAAGTGGATGAATGCTTTATTTTCCTTTATAAAGGTACCTTCTTGCTTCACTGACATTTCTATACAACTATTCTTGTAAGCAAGGAATGAATTCCTAGCTCTGTTTTTTAATCACGATTTTTGAAAGTTTTGGATATTTTCAAGGTTTATGATGTTTTAATGTAGACATATTATAGATTATAATCTGCTGGAACCTAAACCCATATAGTTCTCCCATACACCAAAAAATAAAAAATAACACACTCTAACTTTTAAATTTAGTAGCTAGTAATTAGGGCTACAACTCTTCATAAAAAATTCTCTGACTGAATCAAGAAAAAGTCAGAGCCTAATTATTACTCTGCACTAAAAGTAGGAGCAGTGGTAGAAACTGATGGAGTTAGTATATTACAAGTACATACTGAGTCAAACTATGCTAAGTGCTTTGAATTTATTATTTTCATGTGGAAATTATAATAAAATATGACCAAAGTGTTCCTCTGTCAACAATAAGTTATTTATTTTTGTATTTTCTGACCATCTTAAAAAGTTACTGGAGTAAGTATTCGATAAATTTGAAGAATTTATTTTTATTCATGTAATAACAATGTCCACTCTACTTCTTCACTAGGTGAGCCTATCTGTATCTTAAATACTTTCATTCTGTATATGCACTGAGTTATTGTAACTAATAATGCCAAAATTTAGGGCATGTGTTTTAAACAATGTGTAGAGTTACTAATTTCACTTCCCCTAGAATTTGCTTACCATAACACACACACACACAAAAAAAAAAAAACGGAGAAGAAATGTTAAAGTCATAAATAAAAGTAATTCAATGGTTCATAGCTATGATAACACTCATAGAATGTCTTCACCCAATTATGTATAACTCAGGAATCCTCTGAATGTGTATTCCTCTTTAGGCACTTTATCTCTTCTGCAGATGAACTTTCTTTGTTTTTCTATGCATGTGGTGAAAAATGGTTTTATATCATTTTCCTGATTTAATGCCCCCTAACCCTGTTTTAGTAATCTCAAATTCAAATTATTTGAAAGAAAAAAAAAAGACACTGAGTGTTCCAGCTTATTCTATGAACTGGTCTTTGTGGGCCAGGTTTCTACTTGAGATCAAATAAGCTATGGTCAGTAGAGACAAGGCTATCTACGATGGACATAGTTGTAGAGGTCCACTCCTGTATGTGTTGGGATTAGTGATTACAGTGGATAAACTGAGTCTCATTCCTACCATAGTTGAACCATTTACTTGTAGTCTGAACAATAAAAGACTATATTTAGTTTTTATATTTAGTGATGAGTTTGAAGCCTTGATAAGCCTTCTCAGGCACTGTATTTTCTTGCTGTACATCCTCAAGGCTTCCCTAGTTCTTACAGTAATTTTATGTGAATGGGAAAAAGTTGATCCTTCCTCAAGTTTCTTTGCTCTTATCTGTTAAGACTATCATAACAAATACCTCTTTCGTCATCGATATATTTTACTGCTATCTCCTGGAAATATGTTGTAATAAATATTAAATCTATAGTGTCTGTAGTTTGAATAACACCTCCTTACATATTGCACAGTGTTCAACTCACCCAACTGCATGTGGCAACCCCTACAGATTCTTACCATATATTTTTTGTTTGAGTGGACATTTGGCATAATGAAAGTATTTATAACTGCAAAATATTTTAATCTTTCAAATATATTTTTGGAACATCATTATTTTATGTGTATGGAACTTATTATTTGCAGAATACAAAGAGGATATAGTATCCCCTGGGAAAAAGAAAACTTATAATGCCTTAACCAATCTGTAAGAAATTTATATATACAAATATGTGTGTATATATACATATGTGTGTGTGTACGTATATATATAACCATTTCACTCTCTTAACTTTAAAGTGTTGTTTTGTTACTTTTTGCCCCACTCAAACTCCAAAAAAGCCAGGAAACTGATTATAACATTTTTATTCATTCATCAAAATGGCAAAAACAGTATTCTATTTATAAGGAATACTGGTTATTAAATATTACTTATACTATATTAAAAATAGAATGTTTCAGAAGGTCAGTATGATAAAACCAACACACATATATACATACATATATATGTATATGTATATATAATTTTTTTTGTTATTGTTGAAACAGAGTTTTTTGCTTTTGTTCCCCAGGCTGGAACCCAATGGCAGGGTCTCGGCTCACTGCAACCTGCACCTCGCGGGTTCAAGCGATTTGCCTGCCTCAGACTCCTGAGTAGCTGGGAGGACAGGCACACACCACCACACCTGGCTGATTTTTGTATTTTTACAAGAGACAGGGTTTCTCCATGTTGACCAGGCTGGTCTCAAACTCCTGACCTCAGGTGATCCACCTGCCTCGGCCTCCCAAAGTGCTGGGATTACAGGCATGAGCCACCGTGCTTTGAACACATTTTAACATGTACAGAATATGGGTATTTGTGTGTTTCTAGTATAAGTCTGTGAAAGACAAATCTGAATAAAACTTTGTGATAAACAAGTTTATTTATAACTTGGGGTTATGAGTCCACTGGGCTTTAGGCTAAAGCTTTTCTTCCAAGGTTCTTAACATTTCATTTGCATTTAAAATTGTTATTAATTTACCTTTAAAGGGGTAGAGATTGTCACCTCTTTTTATAACGCTGAATACAGTTGATTCAAAACCTTTCCCTCAGGAAGGATGTAGGTTTACTTTAAGTCCTCATTAGAGCTATGTTTTAGCAATTGTGTAGTATGATGTTTGTATTACTTTATATGTGTTAGCCTGCAAGGTGTGCCCTCAAACTTTCTTTGTATGTCTATGGCTTCATAACTGCACCATGGAAATAGTAATTACTTGTTGTAATCACCATTAGACAGTGTTCTTGACTAACTAGATAGCCTAGATCTTAGGAGAAAAGTCCTTTATATTCTGTACCAGATTATCTTGCCAACTTTTGATTTTTTTTTTGGAGAAGAATACTTATAAAGGTAACCAATATGAATAGATACTACACTGCAATGTAAATTCATAAATGCGGCCGGCCGCAGGGCTCATGCCTGTAATCCCAGCACTTTGGGAGCCCGAGGCGGGAGGATCACCTGAGGTCGGGATTTTGAGACCAACCTGACCAACATGGAGAAACCTCCTCTCTACTAAAAATACAAAATTAGTCTGGTGTGGTGGCACACGCCTGTAATCCTAGTTACTCAGGAGGCTGAGGCAGGAGAATCCCTTGAACCCGGGAGGCAGAGGTTGCCGTGAGCCGAGATCGCGCCATTGCACTCCAGCAACAACAGTGAAACTCCGTCTAAAAAAAAAAAAAAATCGTAAATGTACATGACATTTACAAATACAGAATGTTCATGTTACTACATTTAATCTCTTTCTAAATACTTTACCAACTTGCTGATAAAATAATTAAAACAAGTTTGCATTTGAAATATTAGATTCTATTTTTCTATTTACATCCTTCTTTTTCATGTTCTTGGATTTAATCTAAATTTCCTCAAGTGAATTTCCCTCTCCTTTTCCTTTCCTCTAAAATGCTTGTTGCCCTGAGGTATCACCCAGAGGAATTTACCTATTGATGATGATGAGAGTCTTCTTTCAAATTTGAAGCATCAGTAATAAATCTAAAAAAAAATGGTACTGGGTTTATTTAAATTAGTTCCTTATTATAAACCGATTTCTCTACCTCTGCTGGTGTTCTGTGCTCACGTCAAATGAAAATTAAGGTTTCTTTCCTTACTATGATATATATACTTTCTGCAAATTTGAAATAAGTTCATGAATAAGTGAGGCTGATTATATTATCTTAGTGTACCTATGTGTGTACCTGTATGTGTGTACCTGTGCTTAATTAGAGAGAACTTAGGTTGAGCGGTGGGTACCTCACCTCTGTTTTATATTTTCTGCACATAAATGTTTTTTACTATATTGCAGCAAATCTAAATAATACATATACTACTGGAACTCTATGAAGATTTTTATGGCAGAATTCGTGTTTAAGTGCTTGATCTCTCTAGAAATAAGTTTTTATATTGGAAGACTTCCATTTAAGTTTGGGAGTATGGAAATTAGTTATTTTTCACAAAGTGTGTTGACATGGAAATTAATAGCTATATTTTAAAATGATTTAATGATATATTGAGAAGATTAAAATAAATTCTTATTTACGAATTTTGTTTTTATGTATAGCCAAAGCGGTATGTAAATTAAAAGATTAGATCATTTGATTCTATACCTTTATTGGTTTTTATCAGAAAATAAAACTGTCACAGAATGGTTTTGGGAAAATAAATTGGGACTACTGTGGTGAAGCATATAATCCAGTGTCTGACACAAAATCTTGATAAATATTAAATTTTAATATTTTTAGTTTTCTTATTGCCCAGAAATATTTGTCTGTGTGGCTTTCACATTCTTCATCCCATTATCAAAATGGCTTATCACATATGCACTGTCTCTTATTAAGTACAATTTTCTCCATCCGTTTACATTTCGCATAAATACTTCCCATTTCATAGGTCACCTGGAAATTCTCCCTCTTTGCGTGACCTGTAATGTGGCTCTAATTGTCATTACTAATTTTTTGAACTTCTCTAATTTTACATATATCACCTGTTTTTTGTCCTAGTAACCTAGTTGAGTAATTATTTTTCTTATTTTTATTTTCTGAATAGAAGTTGCAAAGTGTCTATTCATTTTTATACCCAATAACCTGGCATAGAGTCCAATATGTAATATTCCACTGAATTCAATCAATGTTTTCAGTATGTATGCAAATGGGATACTTCTTTTTGTTGAGTTTTAAGAGTTCTTTTTATATTTTTAGATAACAGTCCTTTAATATATCTTTCCCAAATGTTTTCTACTAGTCTGTGCCTTGTCTTTTTATTCTCTGGCAATGTCATTCTCATAGCAGAAATTTTTAATTATAATGAAATTCATCTTATCAATTTATTATTTCATGGGTTGTGCCTTTGGTAATGCTAAAAAGACATCACCAAACTTAAATCATCTAAGTGACCCACTCCTATGTTTTCTTCCAGGAGTTTAATAGTTTTCCACCTTACATTTAGATCTGTGATACATTTAGATTTATTTTTTCAAGGGTATAGTATTGCCTTGTTTTTGGCTAGGTAGATTTGTAAAGAAAATTTCTAAGTGTGTAATCCAATTTCTTTCTATGTCAAGGTGTCACACCTTGCCTAAAAAGTGTTGTAGGTCTAACATGTAAGTCTTTAATCCATCTTGAATTAATTTTTGTATAAGGTGTAAGGAAGGGATCCAGTTTCAGCTTTCTACATATGTCTAGACAGTTTTCCCAGCACCATTTATTAAATAGGGAATCCTTTCCCTATTTCTTGTTTTTATCAGGTTTGTCAAAGATCAGATGGTTGTAGGTATGTGGCATTATTTCTGAGGGCTCTGTTCTGTTCCATTGATCTATATTTCTGTTTTGGTACCAGTACCATGCTGTTTTGGTTACTGTAGCCTTGTAGTATAGTTTCAAGTCAGGTAGCGTGATGACTCCGGCTTTGTTCTTTTGGCTTAGGATTGACTTGGTGATACGGGCTCTTTTTTGGTTCCATATGAACTTTAAAGTAGTTTTTTCCAATTCTGTGAAGAAAGTCATTGGTAGCTTGATGGGGATGGCATTGAATCTATAAATTACCTTGGGCAGTATGGCCATTTTCACGATATTGATTCTTCCTACCCATGAGCATGGAATGTTCTTCCATTTGTTTGTATCTTCTTTTATTTCATTGAGCAGTGGTTTGTAGTTCTCCTTGAAGAGGTCCTTCACATCCCTTGTAAGTTGGATTCCTAGGTATTTTATTCTCTTTGAAGCAATTGTGAATGGTAGTTCACTCATGATTTGGCTCTCTGTTTGTCTGTTATTGTTGTATAAGAATGCTTGTGATTTTTGTACATTGATTTTGTATCCTGAGACTTTGCTGAAGTTGCTTCTCAGCTTAAGGAGATTTTGGGCTGAGACAATGGGGTTTTCTAGATATACAATCATGTCATCTGCAAACCATAAAAACCCTAGAAGAAAACGTTGGCAATACCATTCAGGACATAGGCATGGGCAAGGACTTCATGTCTAAAACACCAAAAGCAATGGCAACAAAAGCCAAAATTGACAAATGGGATCTAATTAAACTAAAGAGCTTCTGCACAGCAAAAGAAACTACCATCAGAGTGAACAGGCAACCTACAAAATGGGAGAAAATTTTCACAACCTACTCATCTGACAAAGGGCTAATATCCAGAATCTACAATGAACTCAAACAAATTTACAAGAAAAAAAAAAAACAACCCCATCAAAAAGTGGGCAAAGGATATGAACAGACACTTCTCAAAAGAAGACTTTTATGCAGCCAAAAAACACATGAAAAAATGCTCATCATCACTGGCCATCAGAGAAATGCAAATCAAAACCACAATGAGATACCATCTCACACCAGTTAGAATGGCGATCATTAAAAAGTCAGGAAACAACAGGTGCTGGAGAGGATGTGGAGAAATAGGAACAGTTTTACACTGTTGGTGGGACTGTAAACTAGTTCAACCATTGTGGAAGTCAGTGTGGCGATTCTTCAGGGATCTAGAACTAGAAATACCATTTGACCCAGCCATCCCATTACTGGGTATATACCCAAAGGGCTATAAATCATGCTGCTATAAAGACACATGCACACGTATGTTTATTGTGTCACTATTCACAATAGCAAAGACTTGAAACCAACCCAAATGTCCAACAACGATAGACTGGATTAAGAAAATGTGGCACATATACACCAGGGAATACTATGCAGCCATAAAAAATGATGAGTTCATGTCCTTTGTAGGGACATGGATGAAACTGGAAACCATCATTCTCAGCAAACTATCACAAGGACAAAAAACCAAACACTGCATGTTCTCACTCATAGGTGGGAATTGAACAATGAGAACACATGGACACAGGAAGGGGAACATCACACTCTGGGAACTGTTGTGGGGTCGGGGGAGGGAAGAGGGATAGCATTAGGAGATATACCTAATGCTAAATGACAAGTTAATGGGTGCAGCACACCAGCATGGCACATGTATACATATGTAACTAACGTGCACATTGTGCACATGTACCCTAAAACTTAAAGTATAAAAATAATGAAATTTTAAAAAAAGTGTCATAATATATCTTGATGTTAGTAAGACATGTTTATTAAGTCTAAAATACAGTATTTTCAATGATTTTTCATATAAAATTAAGTATGTGTTTTTGCAAATGGGAATGACTGTGTTGTGTGCCTTCTTTTGGATATGTTTCTGAAAAGCTACAAGTGGATTCCAAAAGAGTGAAAATAAGCAAGTCAAAATACAATGTATTGTCTGAAGACAATGAATTATATAAAGATAATACAACTAACTTCGAAAAGGGACTTGCGTTCTAGAAAAGAAATATTGTTCACTGTTTTAAAAACTAATATAAGAATGCTAATTAAACTTCCCATGATGTGAATTTATAAAACCTGCCAAAGTTATAGAGAAAATAAGTATAATTTGAAAGGACTTTGACTAATTGGAATTTTCTTTTTTTTCCTAGTTCTATATCTGGATAAAGTGCGAAGGAGCTTAAATCTGTTGAAACCCAAAATTTGCCTCCGTTTAATGGCTTAGGTGAGTCTGTCATTATATAGATGGAGCATATGTTACTCTCTTCAGTGTTTTCTTCACTGCCAATCCTGTTTCAAATTGTATGAGTGATCGAAATTGAGCCCGCTGACATTCTAATCAAGAGAAAAGAAGTATATATGGTGCCCAATTACCTGAATCAAATTGATTTACTCATTTATTCTTCCTTATGTTTCAAAAATAAAGATGTCATTAATCCAGATTTTAAATATCAGAATGTATTATATAACATTTCAGTAGTAAACCAACAAATATCTGAGACAGGTCTCTACCAAGTTAGAGGTTTATTTTGCCAAGGTTAAGGACCATGGCCTGTGACACAGCCTCGGGAGGTCCTGAGAACATGTGCCCAAGATGATACAGCCTCGGGAGGTTCTAAGAACATGTGCCCAAGATGGCTGGGATACAGTTTGATTTTATACATTTTATGGAGACAGAAATTACAGGCAAAACATAATACATGTAAAGCATATATTCATTTGGCCCAGAAAGGTGGAACATCTTGAAGCGGTGGCTTCCAGGTCATAGATGGATTCAGATTTCTGATTGGCAGTTGGTTGAAGGAGTTAAGCTCTGTCTGAAGAGTTGAAGTCAGCTTGAGTTAAGGTAAGACTGGAAGAGAGTTGTGGAAGCCAAGGTTCTTATCATGTGAAGGAAGCCTCCAGGTAGCAGGCTTCAGATAGAATAGAGGGTGAATGTCTCTTATCTGACCTTAGAAGATGTCAGACTCTTATTGAAATCTTTTATGGATCAGGAAAAGACCTGCAAAGGGAAGGGGATTCTCTACAGAGTATAAAATTTCCCCACAAAAGATGGCTTTGCAGGGCCATTTCAAAATATGTCAGTGAAATACACTTTGTTGTAAAATACTTTGATTTCCTTTAGGGCCTGTTATCCATCAAGAGTCGGGTTGGACTTGGCATCTTATTAATACAACGAATCTCTTCTGTCAGTCTTAGGATCTCTCTTTTAATGTTAATATTGTTCAGTTTTGTTGAAACTCCAAAAGAGAAAGGATATGAGGCATGTTCAACACCACCTGTCTCATTGTGGCCTGAATTAATTTTTCAGGTTTCTTAAGAATCTCCTAGGCTGAGAGATGGGTCCACTCAATAAGATGGAAGGGGGTATAATTTTAATTTAGATTCATAAATAAAAAGAAAAATTATTTTTCTACATTCCTTTTTCTCTAATAATATTTTTATTTTGTTTTACCATTTGAAATTCTATGGTCAAAAATTTCGTAAACTAAAATTTCTCCTGAGATTCATTTTAGAAGAATTTTCTAGGCAAGTGTTTTTAGTCTCTATCAAGAATTTGTAGCTGTTTTTATTATTTAAGAAAACAAGCAAATGAAAATATGTGATCTTTAAGGGCCAATATAATATTTTATTCTATCAATAGGCTTATGCAGAACTGATTTTGGTAAAGATTACAGCAGGGTATAGTTTTAGAATTTCTGTCTCAAATGCAAGTTGGAATAACATTCTATAATTTGCTTTTAACACACACACTTAATGAATGTAAATATGAATCTCAACTAATAAAAGAATGAAAAGAACATATTTTTCTTAGATGCTTTTCTTCAGAAACATGAAAAACCCTCACACTAGTTTTTGGTCTGAATTAGAGATAGTCTATTTAATGTTGATGCCACTGTGTGAACATTTTAGAATAATTTAATATTAATTGTTTTGCAGTTTCTTCTGTCTAATGGTAACTGGAATTTCCCTTTCTAATTGTGTATTGAAGAACGAGAACGACTCATGTTTAAGTGTTAGATGTAAGTCATTTCATAATTACTCGTGCACTTCAAAAACAACAAAAATAAAATCAAAATCATAGATTATATGGAAAGCTCAATTCAAAATTTGTAAAATGTAGCATTTTGTTGCATTTTATAGGAAAACATAGGATTGTAATAACATTAAATTATGTATATATTTTTACTCTTCATTAAATGAAATTTAGAGACATCGTCAATCATTAAGTTGCATTTAGTGAGGTGTTAACAGAAATTAATTCATTGTAAACATAATAATAAAATGAATGGAGCAGAATTACCGAAGAAACTGTTTCCTGGAATCCTTATTTTACACACATAATACGAAAATAGCTATAAAAATGTTGATTTTATAATATTGTGTCATAACTATAGACTAGCAGTCAGAAGACATTTACTTAAATATTTACTGAATATCACTATTATCATGATCCATAACAGATTAGCAGTAGGCAATCTGGAATAACAACAGCATGCCATCGGGGAAAAGGCTGGAAATCTTTCAGCTACTGCTGGGGCTAGGGACATTATCTGACTAAAATTTGGCATGCAAGGAATGATTAGCCATTCCAATTAAAACAACCACTGTGGGTATTAGTGAGGGTTGAAGGATACATCAAATAAACAAACAAAAACTTTTTTTTCCTTGTGGAGACTATTGCTTATGTCAGTTAAAAAAAGAAATTAAAGAGGAAACAATGAAGGCAGAGAGGAAGTGAGGAAGGAAGAAATAGTTTTCCTAATACAGAATTCCTGAACTAGACAGACTTTCTTACCTTCTCACAGACAACCTTCTATGGCTTCTGTAGGAACATCTCAGGTCTTCCCTTAAACACGAGTGATGTTAAGAACAGAGAAAAAGGGACACTTTCTGCAGTAGCTAAGCTCCCAAGTAAAAGAAGAATTGAAAGAGCAGAACCATTCTTGCCAGCCTTCCTATCCTAAATTCATATTCAATGAAGTTACTCCTCCTATTCATGAGTGAGGAAGTGACAGAGAAGGGCTAAGACTACCATGATAATGGATGGGCCTACTGAAGGAAGATAATATCAAGAGTGGAGATTGTTTTCCCCAATAACTTCTCTATTCTAAGAGGAAGTATGGTCAAGTTTGTTTGAAGACAGTGATGAGCTTGGGTTTGAACAAGGGTAACAACAATTGCCTAGGAATATATTACAGGGTGTAACAAGAAAGACTTCATGAACTTTCCAGGCTTCCATGTCTATAATTGAAGATGTTAGACCAGAAAGAGATTATAGTTTTCTATGTGTAAGGTAGGAGACTGCAGGCTACTGAAAAATGATGTAGACCCAGCTCCCAATGTCTGGGTATATATACTCTAGGAGAAGTGGTAAGACATTAAACAGACATTCCTTCTCTCTAGATTGACTTTGGCCCAATTTGATGTAAATACTCTAGTGTCTGTTGAAAGGCCTAATAAGCACATCTTTCTAAAGTAATTACTGACTCCTCTAGGAAGTATTTAGTGATTCCTCTTTGAGCTCACACATTGATGGAGTATATTTCTACTACAGGAGTTATCAAATTATAACACTACATTGCACACTATTCACCTGGGTGCAAAGCCATGCTTCACTACCACAAAACTTGTCATATTCATTTTATTTAAAAAACTATGTGCATTTCACATTAAAAGAAAGAAAAATAGAGTTGGCATTTTACTAAGTTGCTCAAAGAAGGTTCGTGGCAAAGCAGGCATTGGCACTATATTTTTTTAAAAAACAGCTTTATCAAGGTGTGATTGATACTCAAAAATCTGCACATATTTAGTGTATACAATTTGATGAGTTTGGACATGTGCTTGCACTGGTGAAACCATCGCTACAATCAAGGTAATAAAAATATCTATCATTTCCAAACACTTGCTTGGGCTTGTTTTTTGCTTTTGTTTGTTGTTGCTGTAAAAGCACAACATGAGAGCTACACTTTTAAATTTTTCAGTGCACAATACAGTATTATTAACTTACAGACACCATGTTGAACAGCAGATCTCCAGAAATTATTTATCTTGTAGAACTGAAACTTTCTATACATTGCACAATTCTTCATTTCTTCTTCCACCCTTCCCCCGGCAACTGACATTCTATTATCTGCTTCTGAGTTAGACTATTTTAGGTATCTAAAAGAAATCATACAGTATTTGTCTTTCTGTGACTGGCTTATTTCACGCAACATAATATCCCCCAGGTTCATCTATTTTTGCTGTAAATGGGGCTATATATTCCTTTGGAGAGAAAAATGAATGTATAGAGAAGAAGGAAGTAAAGGCACAAGAAACAGCTTGAACAAAAAGATAGGAAGGTTAGTTGCAAGTCAATAATCTGTAGAAAATTACAAGATATTCAAGATAATTACTACATAAGTTCGAATGTAAAACAAAAAAGAAAACCAGCAATAGACAGCTTTGAATGTCAAGCTAAGAAATAGGGTAACATATACTTTAGTTAATTGGAAGTCACTGAATAGGAGGGAGCGATGATTAAAGTTGTATTTCAACAAGAATTTAACTTTATATATGTTTTAGAAGTCATCCGTAATAACTCCAGTGAAGAGTAATAACGACCTGAATTAGTGGATTTGTTAGAACTCTAGGCGTGGTGATCACTGGAATGGTAAACATAGAATCATTTTGAGATATATTATTGAGGTAAAATCAGTAAATATAACATTAATTGATCATTTCACTCATCAGTTTAAAACCCTTCAATGGTTTTCACCTACTACACTTAGCATACATTTTATAGTCTTTATCTTGACCTACAAAATCCTTAATAACTTAAACCTTGCTTACCTGTTTCCGTCCTGTCATCTTATGTCACTTACTTCTGCCCTTTATGCACTGCTCCATTCATAATAATTTCCTTATAACTTCTCTAAAGCTCTTAGTTTCTTTTCCCTAAGTGCTTTCACTGAGACAATGAATTCACATGGGATGCTCCTGTTTCTTTCCACCTGGCCAATTTCTACCTATCCTTGAAGTTCGAACTTGAAGTCTCAGAAAGGACTCTCTGAGCTTCCCATCTAAGTACCCTATACTTTGACCTTTTAGCACTATTTATGTTTTCTTTATATCGTCTATCCCAGCTGTACACTCTGTACCTGTGTGTGTGTGTATATATACATATATATGTATACATATATATACACATATATACATACAAGTATACATATATACACATATGTACATATATGTGTATGTATGTGTATATGTGTATACATGTATACACATATATATACACACACGTGTATATGTGTGTGTTTAATTGTTGTATTGAAGTTATTTGGGTCTCCCTTTGCTCCTATAGCACCATTGATTTAGGGCTTTTTTTCACTTAATTCATCATGCATGATGCCCCTATGCCTAGTGTAGCACCTGGCATGTAGGAGATGATCAATAAATGTCTTATGATAAACAAGTGAGATTAAGGAAGCCTCTCACGTCTTTTAATTTAGCAGTAGTTATTATCTCTGTTTCAAATATTCTGGGTTTCATCTCCAGAAGTGATTATTTATCACTGAGTAGTCAAAAAGATTAAGAAGTTGGTTTATTTATGTATTTTCATATTATTTACTCATTTATTTTTCCCAGCAGCATAGTAGTCCGTTTTATATGGAGTCAAAGGCAGAGATTACTAGATTACTAAGCACATGCAAACAAAGAAAAGGGAAAACCAACCAATAACCACATTTATAAAATAATATGAAGGAGCCTAATCAGAAGTCAAAAGAAGGAGAAATAGAGAGTTAGAGAATGAATAAGAAAAAACTGTGTGTGTGTGTGTGTGTGTGTGTGTGTGTGTGTGTGTGTAGACTGTTATAAGGCATACGAATGCATAACAGAGATGTAGACCGGGAGAGAAAGAAAAAAAGTACATTTTATGACAATATTTAAGTGAGTTCAGCACATCTCTGAGAGCAGAGACATTACTGGAAATTAGTAGCTAAAGAGTGAATGGAGTAGGCAAGCATATAATGTAATACAATTTTTTGGCATCCTTTTTGTCAAAAGGGAGATAAAACTTGACATCATATTGAAAACGATCCTGTCTGGGTGCAGTGGCTCACGCCTATAATCCTAGCACTTTGGGAGGCTGAGGCAGGCAGATCATAAGGTCAGGAGTTTGAGACCAGTCTGGCCAACATAGTGAAATCCCATCTCTACTAAAAATACAAAAAACTTAGCCGGGCATGGCAGTGTGCGCCTGTGATCCTAGTTATTCAGGAGGCTGAGGCAGGAGAATCGCATGAACCCGGGAGATGGAGGTTGCAGTGAGCCAACATCGCACCATTGCACTCCAGCCCGGGCAACAGTGAGAGACTGCAAAAAAATAAAAATAAATAAAAATAAACAATTCTTATTCAAAATTTTGGAATTAGCATAATGTGTTGTCAATATGTATGAACTACTCTTCTTTATTGTTGTTGGTTTTCTTTTTTGTTTGTTTTTCTTCACACAGGGTCTTGCTCTGTGACCTAGGCTGGAGTGCAGGGGCACAGTCACAGCTCACTGCAGCCTTGACTTCCCAGGCTCCCGCGATCCACCCACCTCAACCTCCCAAGCAGCTAGGACCACAGGCACCTGCCACTACACCTGTCCAATTTTTTTTCTTTCTATTTTTTGTAGAGACACGGTTTTGCCATGTTGCCCAAGCTGATCTCAAACTCCTAGACTCAAGCAATCTGCCCACCTCAGCCTCACAAAGTGTTGGGATTACAGGCATGAGCCACTGCACCTGGCCTGTACTTATTACTCTTCTAATTGTCCCCCTACATTCCTTCAATTTCATTCTCAAATGGTCTCTAGAGCCTCATCTATTTCTGTCATGTGACATCCTAGGCATTACATTTTAACCATATTGAACAAGTGAGACTTAGTTGAGGGCGAGCACACACAGTTTTATTTCTCCACATATTTTAAAAATAATGCTCTAAATTTTTGAGAGGCATGTGGGGTTGGGGAATTGAATAAAGTTTTGTTCCCAGTCCATGTCAATCACAAGTAGAATCTCTTTTCAGTAATTAAATAAACCTCCTTTGTTTGCTGTTAAAGCTTCGTTTTAAAATTCAGGTTAACATTTCTACCCAATTCCAACTCCATCTTACCTCAGGTCATAAAGCCTGCAGAGGGGCTGCTACTTCTTTCTTTCTTTCCTTCTCTGTCTACCTAATTCTGCATCTGCTATTTTTGGTTCATCAGGGTTGGAGGAGGTGGGATAAGTGATTGTGGAATAATAAAGTGCTGAATGGTTCTTATATGACTGAAGACATATCTTTTGGTGTTGGTACTGAGGCGGGAAATTAAAGAAAGATAAAATTTAAAAGAAAGTGAAATAAGTTGTCCTGTATTAGGCTGACTTGTCCCAAAGTCAGCAATAGGCACAGCCCAGACCCAGGAAATGTCTTGATAATATCATCTAATGTGCTCTAGAGACTCTCCCAGCAATCCCTCAACAAAGAGAGAAGAAAAACAAATTTTACTTTGTTTTATGAAATGAGTTTATAGATTCCTGTTCTCTGTAACTAGTGACTTCAAGTATTCTGTTTTATCTAAGAAGTACAACAAAGGTCATGAGACACCTGAGTAGGCCTGAACTACAGCTGCCTGGGCACCATAGCGAAGGTTATAGGATAAGCCGGTGCCCAGGCAAACCTAGATAATGGACATCTGGATTGCTTGGCAGTGGTCATGTGAAATCCTGTCTTTGTCTTGCCTCTGTATCCCTGCTTTCACCCCACTGTAAGCTTGCTTCAAGCTAGCCAACCCCCTTTTGTGAAGTGTGTATAAAAGTCAAGTACTGTCTTTGTTCCGGGCGCAGTCTTTTGGACATCAGTCAGCTGGGCCTGAGTGCATTCAATAAAGATTCTCCTGTTTCAACCCGAGGTCTCTCTCGTCCTCCTGAATCCTGCAACAGTACCTTCTCATGGTAATCGTGCAATTGATGGGTCTTGCTCTCTAATATCTGATCCAATCATAGTTTCCTTGATACAAACATGTTCCTTGTGGTGGAAGTTTCTGCTATCTTCTCAGCCCTCAAGCTTCAAGAAATCTGCTCCTCTTTTAAACCTGTAGCCATTTTTTAAGGCGAGATCTTTTTTAGGATAACCATAGATAGATTGCCCAATTCTCAATTTGGTCCATAAGAAACATACCCAATATATAGGACATAGAAACACACCATCCTTGTGCTGCTGGTTTACATTCCATTGCCATATTAAGAGTTCTCCTGGCCAGAATCAACTAGTATTCCAGTGTCTCTCGAACTTCAGGGAACACATAAAAGCCTGTTAAATGGTTATCATAAAGCTTCTCTCTATTTGCTTTAAGAAAAGGGAGAAACACCTTTCTCCATTCCCAAAAAGAAGATCAAGGCCAGAATTCTGAAATTATCTCTCCTAACAGAATGTTTCAATCTTCGATTTTCATGCAAACCAAAGATAGCAGAACCTATTTCATAGTCATAATATGCTTCTCATAGGTGGGTCACCTCTTCAGTTTAGGATCTGAGGATACTTTACAATATTCCATTTTTTTTTTTGCCAAAACTGAGACAAAAAAAAAATGAAAAGAAAAAAAGGATTCCATCTTAACTTTCTGTCATATATTGTACCACCAGAAAAAAAAGTATGTTTTATTTCTTGCTACTCCTCATTTTTCTGCTTCTTTCTCTTATATAAATGCTTACCCATGCTATTTTAAAGATTCTATTTGTGTTTTCCTATATGCCTTTTTGTTTTATGCTTGTTTATTCCTGTCAATGCAATGTATAGGTTATCAAATGAGACTGCCATATTTTAACTAACAATAAAAAAACTGGCTTTCCTAACTTTATGAACAGAAAGAAATTTTTTGATATTTGCTCATAAACAGCCTGGACTATGCAATAATACAAAAAAAATGATTTTTTTCAGCATCTATAACTGGCACTTCTTTCTTACTCTTTTGATTTTCTTTCAAGAGCAGACTTGAGTGAGCACAGGTGGGTATGGGTGGGTATGAGTGTGTGTGTGTGTGTGTGTGTGTGTTTATATTGGTTAAATTCACTTTCCAAGTATATTATTCTGTTCTGTGTTTCAAATTCTAGCAGATTTGAGAAGTGATTTGGAAATTAGATGTATAACTTTTCTGGAAATCTACCACTAAAATGTTTCATACACTATAATCATTTTACTTTTATTCCATATTGTATATGGTTAAACATTTCTGAAGATTAAAACTATAAGAAATAATATTATATTTTATGATAATTTCTACATATAAAGAAAATAAGCTCCTAATGTATTTATATATTTTCTGAGAAGATAAATTCCTAAGTATATAAAGTAAAATTAAGGTGTATTAATCATTCACAACACGTTACTCTTTTTTTTGAAAACTTGAGCCAGTGAAATAAATATTATTAGTATTCTGAAGAAGTGACAAATTCAAGCTTTGTTATAATGTTTTCTATGAGAAGCATGAGTTTTCATAAACTATCCTGATAAGTGAAGCATCATTGAAAAAGGACATACCACACTATCAAATTAGCTTCAAATTTTTATTTCCAAGGTCTTCAACTTTTTTTA
Organism: Homo sapiens; assembly: GCF_000001405.40. NCBI lineage: Eukaryota > Metazoa > Chordata > Mammalia > Primates > Hominidae > Homo > Homo sapiens. Next base: position 70,156,811 of record NC_000013.11, read on the forward strand.
ATTTGATTTACCAATAAGCTCTCTCTGCTTTTACTTTCAGCTACCTCCTTAAGCCCAAAGAAACTTCCATCAGTAGTCATGGAAGACAGGAAATCAGCTGGCCAACAGCATGATATTGTGATGCCCTTTGTGTATTACATTTTTCTAGTTACCCGTAAATGAAAAAGTCTCAAAACACATTTTAAAATTAGGAAATAACATACCGTAGATATAAATATAATAATAGAGACAAAAGAATTGTCACTTTAATAAACCAATGAAAATGCTAATGCAATCTGATGAATTGTTCTACCTTCCTAAAAGTTTTCATACCGATTTTTTGATTAAAGGCTCGTAACAACATTATTTTAAAATTTAGAAACTGGATCAGATATATATTTTACTATATCATGAATGAGGATAAAAAACAAAGGAAAGCCTTTACATGAACTATATCTATTATTAAAATAGAATGTTGTGTCTCAAGAAACAGTTTTGACAAACTGATAGGAGGAGCTCTTTCTGTTTAAAAATAAAGAACATAATTTTTTTTCATATTCATTAAACCATAAAAGGAGAAAATCCTGAAAAAGTAAATACAAATCTAGAATGTGACTCTTTCAGCAAGGATACATTGTTTACAAGAATTAAACCACAAATTGCAACTAGATTATCCTAAGGAAAGAAGACAGCCAATTAACTGGACTCACATGACTAAGATATCCAGAGATTTGCTTGTTTCCTGCACTTCTTTTACCAGCAGTTAAAAAAAAAAACAAAAACACTCTTAGATCTCTCACTCTTTATTTTCTGACTTTCAGCATTTCTGAGTGTGGAGCTCATTCTCTCTTATTGAACGCAGCTTAACACATAGTTGGGGAATACTGGTACACGGAGAACCTTATATTGTGCTCAGAAGTCAAGATTCTAAACAGATTTAAAAAAGAAAAATTCCACCTGACAGCAGACAGTTCCCTGACTCCAACTGGCCTAACTTAATCTTTGATCTTCTGCATGGAATAGGGGAAGCATGGATCCTGAAAGAAAGCCTACAGGAAAGACAAAAAATACATATTTTCACTAAATTAATAAAATGGAGTATGGGTGCAAACTATCCATGATTTAAAATTTCCAATTAGTACATGCAGGAAATAAGCTTGCAAAAAATCATTTGAGCCATGAGAATCCCATTCAGTAAGCAAAATGTGCATTAATCACAGATGCATTCATTCAGTAAGAGAGTTAATCTGTATAATACCAGATTCTCTAAAGAGGAGATTGTGTGTAAAGCCGCTAGGAAAAGCCTTGAGATAGGCTTATTCCACACTTCTTTAAGATAGAAGAGCAGAGGCTGGCGTGGTGGCTCACACCTGTAATCCTAGCACTTTGGGAGGCCGAGGCAGGCAGATCACGAGGTCAGGAGTTTGAGACCAGCCTGGCCAATATGGTGAAACCCTGTCTCTACTAAAAATACAAAAATTAGCCAGGCGTGGTGGCCCTTGCCTGTAATCTCAGCTACTTGGGAGGCTGAGGCAGGAGAATCGCTTGAACCTGGGAGGCGGAGCTTGCAATGAGCCAAGATTACGCCACTGCACTCCAGCCTGGGCGACAGGCAAGACTCCATCTCAAACAAACAAGCAAACAACAGAAATAACAAGAGCAGAAATATGTAATAGGACAGTACAAAATATTAGAATCCTTCAGCTGCCTCCATCGGTCCCTTTCAACAATATGCCTAGATGGCAATGCTATCTTCTCTCAGTGCACTATGTGCTAAAACACAGGTCAGAAAACCTTTTCTGTAAAGGGTCAGATAGTAAATATTTTGGGTATTGCATTCCGTATAGTCTCTGTCTCAAACACTCAATACTACAGTTTAGCATGAAAGAAGCCATAGACAGTATATAAACAAATGAGCACGGTTGTGCTCTGATATAACATTATTTATGGGCACTGGATTTTGAATATCATATACTTTTCATATATCATGCAATATCTCTTGATTTTTGCCCTGACCGTTTAAAAACATTAAAACCAGCCTTTACTATGGACTGTAAAATAGGCAGAGGGCCAGATTTAGTTCATGGGCCATAGTTTGTCAACCTCTGTGTTATAGGACTGCTCTTAAGAGCCGAAGCCTTTAATTTATGAAAGGGAGAAATTAGTTCAAATATAAATTCAAATATTTTACTTTGTAATTATTATGAATTTACATGTATTTTATCATGTATATCATATATATTTATGCTTTATCCTGGATAATGATTCATTTCATTTTCTCAAGATTAAAATCTCCTCATTACTAGATAATACTATAGTTCAACGTATTTTAGATCTCCTTACTAATTACTAATTAATTTATTTTCTCTCCTTCCCTCCACCACTTCCATTCTCTCTCTCTCTCTCTCTCACTTTTTATTACACATATAGAAGAATTAAATTATATTCATATATTAGAGGTAATATTCAGTAGTTATTCTAGATTTTCTATGTACAAAATCATGCTTTTTGTAGATGCTTTTTTATTATTGCTAGTGAGCAATAATAAAAGTTTTATATATTTATTTCCAATTCCTATACTGTTGAGGACCTTTAGTATACTGCTTTACAGAAGTAGTACTACTAGACACTCTTGTCTCATTAGCAGGGGATGTTTTTATGAATTGTCTATTGAATATGATATTCTTTTTGGTTTTCTTTATCGAATTGAATTTTTTTATTCCTAGTTTATCATGAACTTTATGATTATTATGGATTCCCACGTGCATACCATACAATTTACTTTATTGGTGTATGGTTCCAGGGACATTAGCATATGTATACATTTGTATAACCACCACCACAATCAGAATACAGAGCAATTCTATAATTCCAAGATATTCCATGGCGCTGTCTTTGTTGTAGCCAAAACTTTGCCTGATCTCAATTCTTGGCAACAACTAACCTGTTCTTCTTTCCTGTAGTTTTACCTTTTCCAGAATATCACATGGAATCATACAGTATATAACCTAACACTGGCTTCTTTCATCCAGAATAATGCATTTGAAATTCATTCACAACATTGCATGTATAGTTAATTTATTCATTTTTAGTAGTAATAAATTGAATGTGTATGTACAGTGTGTTTGTCCATTCATCGATTGATGTGCATTTGGGTTGTTTCTAATTTTAGTCAATTATAAATAGACCTGCTATAAATTCACATGTACAGATTATTGCATGAACATAAGATGTTATTTATCTAGGGTGGATACCTATTAGTGGGATTGCTGGGTCTTATGGTTAATTGCATATTTAACTTAAAATAGAATATGCCAGAATGGCTGTACCATTTTTCATTCCCACCAGAAATGAATGAAGGTATCATTTTTGTTGACTTTTTGTGAGCACTCAGTCTGTTGACTTATTGGATTTTCATATATTGTATTTGTATATTATATATTTTTCAAATTATAATAGGTATGTATTTGCAGCTCATTGTTACCCTAATGTTTCATGACATTGAGCATTATTTTATAAATTTTGGTTTATCATTATAATGTGTAGAATCTAATATACGAGTGGCTTATATCAACAGAAATGTATTTCTCACAGCTCCAGAAGCTAAGCAGTCCAAGATCAAAGTGCCCACAGATGCAGTGTCTGGTGACAGCACTTTTCCTGGCTGAAGTTAGTTCGGCATGAAGTTAGCATATTTCTTTCAACGGTAATTAATTTGGATAAAGTTTCTTAGTGTTTTAAATATTGTTACAGCCTTAATAAATTGTCATATTTTCAATATGGAAATGCAGTTTTACACAGTTATGCATGTTTATAGTCTTAATTGGTAAGTATCATAATAATAAAATCAGAGAAGTTTATACAAAACAAAATATTCTTGGTAGAGATGCCCCAGACAGCTGATTTAACTGAATTCTAGAAAGCTGAATTATATATATATTTATATAATTTTTATATATAATTTTATATTTATATAATATGTAAATATATAAATATTTATTTATAAATATATTTATTATAAATATATATAAATATATATTTATATATATAAATATATTTATATTTTATGTCTCTTTATTCAAAATATACCTATTTAAGTGAATTCAATATAAAATAATTATAACACATAGTGAAATAATCTTAACTTTCAGGTGGACCGACACAATTTAAAGCAGTTTAGATGTGTTTAAGATGTTATTATGACATATCGAGACAAATCTACAGTTGAGATTTCTAAATATAACTGTTATTAGAAAATGTCTGAATTTACTTGCTATGAACTTTAATTATCTTAAAATCGGATTCTTCTAAAGTAAGCCAGTAAACTAAATACTGCAAGATTTAAATTTTTTTAATGATTGAATTGAAAAAAAAAATCTAAGGTTAAACTGAAAAATTACCCACTGTCATACAGAGTGTTCCCATATAGCATCATTTAAAGTAGTATAGTTAGAAAACAAATATACTAAAGAGTAAACCACCAAGTATTCTACTATTTTGCCTCATTTACTGTGTTTCCAGGAAGCATTCTGATTTTTGTAATTCATCAGATTAACATAAATTTTTTTCACCTTAGCTACAAAGGCAGAAAGGGAAGCATCTATTTTTGTTAGTAGATGTCAGGACTTGCTTTTTTGTTTTTCTCTTTGGAATGCTCTTCTCCTAGGCAATCTATATGATCCACAGTTCCTCACTTAGCTCTACACCTTCTTTCTGTACTTAAGCATCATTTTTTCAGAACAACTTTTTCTGACTACTTTCTAAAATACCCAACCCACTAATTTGTTCCTTAACCCTGCTTTATTTTCCTCCAAAGTAGATATCATTGCCTAACACACTAAATAATTATTTGATTATTTTCTGTATTCTTGCATGAGAACTTAAGCTCCATGAAACCAGAGGCGGTCTCTGTTTCATTTTCTGCCTTTTGAATACCCAACATCTTGTAGTTATGGTATAAGTATTTGTTGAGTGAAAAAAAATGAAAAAAAATCATAGGATGTACAATGCAAACAATGAATCCTAATGTAGGTTATAGAATTTAATTAATAATAGTGTTTCAATATTGACATCAATTTTTACAAATGTACCATGCAGATGAGAGCTTTTAATAATAAGGAGAACTAGGGGGATGGAAGACAAGGTAATACAGAAATTCTATACATTCAACTTACTTTTTCTGTAAAACTAAAATTTCTCTAAAAACATCTATAAATTAAAAGATGGAAGAGGTAGAGTAAGAGAAGGAGAAGAAAAAAGAGGAAAAGAAGAAAGGGAGATGGTAAGAGAATAAAGGAGAAAAAGGAAGAGATGGAGGGTGCACATTGAGTTAAAATTGTGTTTATTTATGAGTATAACCTCTAATAAGTACATACGCTAGCCTGACATTTGAAGACGTTGCATTTCTTAGGGTCTTACAGGAATCAGCTGGCACAATGAGACTGAAACTAAAGACAGTTAAAAATAAACAGACAACGTATAGGAAACCTGAGACGCAGAATTCAGCACCTCAGGGCCAGTAACAGTAGGGCTCTGTCATCACTCCTAGGACTGAAGAACCTTTAGAGGAAGCTGAACAAACCCCCTAGAGGGATACAGGCAGCCTGAACCAATCCCACAGGGAGAAATCCAAGTGAGTGAATAAGCACACTTGCTCTTTTTCTTCAATATTCTTCTGAGGCTCTTCTGTTTGTGCAACCCAAGCAGAAGCCAGAGAAGCAGGGACGTTGTTGCAGGCTAGTTTCCTGATGAAAAATGGGAGGAAGAGAGAGAGTAGATCTGCTGGGGCTGATCGATTCGTTCATACTCACAGAACTGTCTTTGCAGATCCTGTACCCTAAATTTGATTTGATATAAGAAACTGTGGAAGGCTTAGGCAAAATATTAGGCCTCACAATCTCAAGTGAGATTTTCTTTTAGTCTCTTCTGATGTTTTGTCTCTATAATTAGATTTTAAAAAATCTTTTTCTACCACTTAAGTCTTATTTTGATTAACTGAATTTAAGTTATTGTTTCTCTTCCATGAATCTTTGAATCAGTAGCCTGCAAATTACACTAATTTTTTAGATCTGGCAAACTAATTTTCTTTTCTGTTTAGTTTTTCATGAACTAAAGGCAACTTTACCCAAACCTCTATCTTGTAGGTCTGAGCCCAATACTTTGAATCATAGCAAGTTGATGTTGGCCACAGGCCTTCAAGACTCAGTGACACCACTGTCTTCACAACTTTCTGCTATTCTCTCCCTTTTTTTTCCCATTTTAAAATTAATTTTCTTCTTACAACTTTGGTTATAAATTACTAGTGCTATCAATAATTATAATAACAATAATAGTAATTATGACAAATCCTGATAGTAATTACAATGTAACTGTTATGTTTCTAAATAATGTTAAGAGTTAGCTCATTTAATAATCCAACTGGCCCTATGCAGCAATTACCATTATCATCTATTTACAGATGAGAAAATTGAGACAGAACATTTATGTACCTTGTTGATCTCACTGCTGGTGTGGAAGAGAAAAGATTCTAACCACATTGGCTGGCATCTAAGTCCAGGATCTTAATTATTACACAAAATCATCTCCCTTGAATAGCATTTTCTTTCATTTTCCCATATGTCCACCCCATGAGACTGTCACCATGTCATACTTAGTAGGTATTGTAACTTTATTAACATCAAGGTTTCCCTGCTGGTCTTTTCCTTCCTCTACCCTTGATAGACTTACATCACATTCTAACAAATTACAAAATATTAAAATTATTTGATAGTAATTTCAAAGGGACTTACAAAATGAAGATGTAAAATGCTTGCTATTATTCTTTAAAATAAATCAAAGCAAATGGAGTTGCTTAAAAAGTCATTAAAACCTAGAACTTTCACTCAAATATCTCAATTTGTAGAGATTTGAGGCTATTTTTTACAATATGTATCAGTATATACTTTTTTTGAACTTATTAGGTTAAAATTTATATAAATTTCAAAAATATTTGGCTTTCTAAATGAAATATCTTTGAATAGTTTAACTTTTGACTTTTTATCTCTTGCAGTCCACCACTCTTCTTGTTTTAGAACTTTAACACTCAAGGGAAATCATGGTTTTTTTTTTAATGTTTTGCCTGATAGAATAAATATATGACAGATTTTTTTCCCCACTTAGTGGTATTTTACGTACGTCACTAAAAATGTGCTCAATGAGGATGTGTAGGGTGCTTGAATCAGTTTTTATTTTTTTTCTCCTAGAATTGTAAGCTGGAAGTTTTTATTCTTATTATTATTATTATTATTATTATTATTATTATTATTATCCTGTTTCCAAAACCTGGGAACAGGATAATATTAATAATAATAACCAAAGCACTATTCTGTCACTTATTTCCCAATTACCATTATCATTTTTTCCCATTCTAACTCTAGTTGAAAATTTAGGTTTCCCAAGGTTACCTTTTTTTTGAAAGATATTAAAAATGATATTAAAATGTAATTTCAAATAAAGTAATCCTCTCTTTCACTCTTTTTATCCCTCTCCCCTCTTTACATCTTCCTTCTCCTCCTCTTTCTCTTTACAAGGCAGGCAAAGCACAGAGTTCTACCAAGCAGATAAGACACCGTGAGGATGAAAATAAAAATTTTGTATTTGCAACAAATGTGTATTCTGCAAGTGAAATTGAACCTGTCTTCTGAAAGTTAAAAAATTAGGATATTTCATCTTTGTACAAAAATATACAAATATAAGGCAGGATAGAAGGAGAATATAGAGGAAAGACACATGCAGCTACCTATCTTTGTCATCTGAGCATAAGTGAAGGATAAAATGTTACAAATACAAATAATTTATCACAAATATGCTTTGGAATGTTTTCAGTGTGTCAGGATTGATATTAACCTGCACAAGAATGCCTAAAAGCAAGATTGGGAATGAAAAATTGGCAAGACATTATAATGAAACACCAGTTTCCTTTGTTCAAGTTGCCTGGAGCCCTTTATCCATCTTCTGGCCTTACCTCCTCACTGTATTTCTAGAAAATGATTGCTCCATGATGAGCTTCCTATATTCAACTATGTGCAATAACTGAAAATAAAAGAATTGTGGAAAATTTCTAAAAATGTTGCACAGAAAATAGGAAAAAGGAAAATAATAACAAGAATAAGAAATCACAGAAATATTACCAAATCAGAAAAGTGACACTCTAAAGGACTCTAAAAGGTAAACATTCTGATAAAAAGTATTTCCCATGAAATCTAAGAATATAGTTACAATATGGCCTCTGGATTTACAGGCTTCAAAAAAGATCTACAGTGGCTTAAGAAAGAAATTACACAAAACTAGTAAGATCAATTTTGAGCTTTCAAGCCTTAGAAAATAAATTCAAGGAAAAACAAAAGTTATCAGGAAAACGAAAGCATATTGTTAATTTAAGAGGAAGAGTGGAAATAAGAGCATAGAAGAGTAACAAAAAAAGAAAGAGAACTCCATTAATAAGAACTTAAATATAGTTATAGATATGTTAGACTAGGAGAAGAAATAGTGATGAAAATGAAAGAGACAAGAGCATATAATTCACATGAAAGAGATAAAGGTTATTCCTGCATAGTTGTATAATCAGTATTTTTGAAGAAGAGAAAAGAATAAATAAAAATAAATCTAGAAAAACATTTTTAAAAAACTTATTGAATACTATAATTTCAATAAAAACTTGAATGTAAATATTAAAAGCAGGCAACTGGACTTCCGGCAAACATGACTCAAATATATTTATGCCAAGATCAATTTTTAAAATTTGTTAGGATTCATCAGTGAATAATTATCTGCGTATCCAAATCAGAAATCATACATATGAGGAAAAAAACTAAAAATAGAAATATCAGGCTAGATTAAGGTCTATCCATAGCAGCAATCACTGATAGAGCTCAGGGAAGCAAATTCTAAGAATTTAAGAAAATTTACATAAATTTTTTTCTAACCAAAACTTCATTCAACTTGGAAGATAACGGAAGATATGTGGAAATATTTAAATATAAATAGATTGTAGTCTCCAGAGTCCTTGAGAAAAATTACAAGTAAAATATTTAAACAACAAAATAATAATACAATGAATAATGGTGTCTGCAGTAACAGCACAGAAAGTAAAATAATAATAGCACATCAATTAGTTTAGAGCAAAATGAGAAATTAGAATACTTCCTTAACACATTTTCCTTTGATTGTTGATATATTTCATTCTCTATTTCAACTTTATGTCTTTGCATAAATAGAAAATGAGTGAGATAGAGAAAAATCTCTCATCATAATTAATGATGAAGCACATGAATATCTCATTAAGGATCAGGATAAGATGCTGACTATTGTCAACCAATTCCTTTCAACTAAATTTAAAATAGTAGTTCATATGGAACCAAAAAAGAGCCCTCATTGCCAAGTCAATCCTAGGCCAAAAGAACAAACCAGGAGGCATCACGCTACCTGACTTCAAGCTATACTACAAGGCTACAGTAACCAAAACAGCATGGTACTGGTACCAAAACAGAGATATAGACCAATGGAACAGAACAGAACCCTCAGAAATAATCCGCATATCTACAACCATCTGATCTTTGACAAACCTGACAAAAACAAGAAATGGGGAAAGGATTCCCTATTTAATAAATGGTGCTGGGAAAACTGGCTAGCCATATGTAGAAAGCTGAAACTGGATCCCTTCCTTACACCTTATAAAAAAATTAATTCAAGATGGATTAAAGACTTAAATGTTAGACCTAAAACCATAAAAACCCTAGAAGAAAACGTAGGCAATACCATTCAGGACATAGGCATGGGCAAGGACTTCATTCATGTCTAAAACACCAAAAGCAATGGCAACAAAAGCCAAAATTGACAAATGGGATCTAATTAAACTGAAGAGCTTCTGCACAACAAAAGAAACTACCATCAGAGTGAAAAGGCAACCTACACAATGGGAGAAAATTTTTCCAACCTACTCATCTGACAAAGGGCTAATATCCAGAATCTACAATGAACTCAAACAAATTTACAAGAATAAAACAACCCCATCAAAAAGTGGGCAAAGGATATAAACAGACACTTCTCAAAAGAAGACATTTATGCAGCCAAAAAACACATGAAAAAATGCTCATCATCACTGGCCATCAGAGAAATGCAAATCAAAACCACAATGAGATACCATCTCACACCAGTTAGAATGGCAATCATTAAAAAGTCAGGAAACAACAGGTGCTGGAGAGGTTGTGGAGAAATAGGAACACTTTTACACTGTTGGTGGGACTGTAAACTAGTTCAACCATTGTGGAAGTCAGTGTGGCAATTCCTCAGGGATCTAGAACTGGAAATACCATTTGACCCAGCCATCCCATTACTGGGTATATACCCAAAGGATTATAAATCATGCTGCTATAAAGACACATGCACATGTATGTTTATTGTGTCACTATTCACAATAGCAAAGACTTGGAACCAAATGTCTAACAATGATACACTGGATTAAGAAATGTGGCACATATACATCATGGAATACTATGCAGCCATAAAAAATGATGAGTTCATGTCCTTTGTAGGGACATGGATGAAACTGGAAACCATCATTCTCAGCAAACCATGGCAAGGAAAAAAAACCAAACACCACATGTTCTCACTCATAGGTGGGAATTGAACAATGAGAACACATGGACACAGGAAGGGGAACATCACACTCTGGGGACTGTTGTGGTGTGGGGGGAGGGAGGAAGGATAGCATTAGGAGATATACCTAATGCTAAATGAAGAGTTAATGGGTGCAGCACACCAACAATGCACATGCATACGTATGTAACTAACCTGCACGTTGTGCACATGTACCCTAAAACTTAAAGTATAATAATAACTTAAAAAAAAAGAAAATTCAGAAAGAGCGAAAATACTATCACAACATATGTAACTTCTTTTTTTTTTTTTTTTTTTTTTTTTTGAGACAGACAGAGTCTCGCTCTGTTGCCCAGGCTGGAGTGCAGTGGCGCGATCTCGGCTCACTGCAAGCTCCGCCTCCTGGGTTCACGCCATTCTCCCACCTCAGCCTCCCGTGTAGCTTGGACTACAGGCGTGTGCCGCCACTCCTGACTAATTTTTTTGTATTTTTAATAGAGACGGGGTTTCACCGTGTGATCTCAATCTCCTGACATCGTGATCCACCCACGTCAGTCTCCCACAGTGCTGGGCTTACAGGCGTGAGCCACCGCGCCCGGCCAACATATGTGACTTCTAATGTGCCCACTTGGCTTATAAGCATTGGGCATTACAGAGAATTACCTTCCATATACTTTTTTTGTTCTTTGCTGGGAGGCACTTCTTTGCATGATTGAACTGATTAGGATTTCCCAAGGCTTGAGAACAAGAAAAAGGAAAGCAGTCAGCAGTTACCTTCTTTAAAAATAAATGGACACATAATGAAATTGACTCTTAATGTTTCTACATTTTTATGGGGTACATGTCTAATTTTATTACATGCACAGAATATGTAATGATCAAGTCAGGGGATTCAGGTTATCTATCACCTGGAGCATTTATCACTTATATAATGTGTTGGGAGCATTTCAAATCCTCTCTTCTAGCTATTTTGAAATATACAATATGTTGTTGCTGACTATAGTTATCCTACTCTGCTATCAAACATTAGAAGTTATTCCTTCTATCTTTCTGTATGTTTGTACCATGAACCAACTTCTCTTTATCCCCTGCCACTGCCCCGCCCCACGCATATGCACCCTTCCCATCCTCTAGTGACTATCATTCTACTCTCTATCTCTGTGACATCATTTTTTTTTTTTTTTTAGCTCCCAATAGGAGAGAGAACATGTGACATTTGTCTTTCTGTTTCTGGCTTATTTCGCTTAACATAACAACCTTTAGTTCTATTCATGTTGCTACAAATGACAAACTTTTATTCCTTTTCATGTCCCAGTAATATCCCATTGTATATATATTTTCTTTCACCATTCATCCAGGCAAGGAGTTGGCACCATAGTGTTAAGGTCTTCCTTCAGAAAACCCATGTTTTGTGAATGTGCAGTAGTCCATGCATCATTTTATTTGTTAGTATGGATTTATTTTGTCTGCACTGTTCTTTTGTATGTTTTTGCATTATAGTTTCAATTACATTGACTATCACATGGTTGTTTTGTTTGTTAACTATAGAAGAAATTGTAAACCAGTAATGTCACTGATGCTTATTTTTCTAATGATGAGAACAGACCTAGTTTTGTTTTTCCATGAATAGATTGCTATTTTAAGTCAGGGATAGACTAGATAATGCAGATGGATTATCATATACATAAGATAATAAAATGGAATTTAAATTCAGTAAATGGCTTGTTACATAATTAATAGACAAAATCAACAGTTTTTGTACATTAAAAATGTTTTAGAAAGTGTAAGGTAATAAATAGCTGCATTATTTGTAGCAACGAAAGAATAGCATCCTAGAAATAAACCTCAGAAGAAATAGAAGAAAACGTTTAATCTTTTTGTTTGTTTTTTGAGACTGAGTCTTGCCATGTCACCCAGGCTGGAGTGCAATGGCACGATCTTGGCTCACTGCAACCTCCACCTGCTGGGTTCAAACAATTCTCCTGCCTCAGCCTCCCTAATAGCTTGGATTACAGGCTCCTGCCACCGCCCCCAGTAATTTTTGTATTTTTTGTAGAGACGGGGTTTCACCATGTTAGCCAGGCTGGTCTCAAACTGCTGACCTCGTGATCCACCCGCTCGGCCTCCCAAAGTGTTGTGATTACAGGGGTGAGCCACGGCGCCCAGCCAGAAAACATTTAATCTTTGAAAGAGTATTGTCATAAGTAAACTGATGATCTGTTTAAAGCTCTCTTTGAGGGGCAACACATCCATCCCTCTCCTAATAAAGATATCATCTGTTGAATGCATACTCCTGTGGCTCTCACTAAAACTTTCCTTCTGTGATAGGACAATGTCTTCCCAAGGTTACAACACCTTCCAGAGATCTGCCTACAGTCACTGGCTGGCTAATGTGAGAAGATTAAGTCCTGGTCCTTGCCTCTATTTGGGACAAATATGAAGAACCATCCCAGCTCCACACCACCTCCTGGAATCAATTGCATCCTTACTTGCAAATGCATTGCGAGCCAGCTTCTTCTGCCCAAACCTGACTTTCTTTCATGCCTTTACTGCTACTCTCTGAGGTGTACTTGGGATTGGCATTTCCTTGTTCTCTTGGCTAAAACTGTGGTTGTGAACAGCGAGAGAAAGCATCGACTACACTCACAAAGTAATTTTTACAGGTGTCCTGCCTTAGTTCCATTAGAGTTTACTGGAACATTCCTGTATTCAGAGCTATCACATGCTTGCCTAGATTAACAGAATATTTTGTTTTTCCTCTTTGGCCATTTATCCTTCAGTAAGAAGACCCAAATTATGGGATCTAGGATCTCAGATGCCATTCTGAATTCGTAACATATGAATGAGTTTATATAGAGAAATGTAACCTAAGTGTCTTCAAAACCTTAATGGTTTAAGGTCTTTATTCCTTTAATATCCAATAAAATAACTTCAACATATGTCTGAGAAGATCTGGGAAGTGTTTATATGCAATACATTTTCTAAGGCAGAATTAAGAATTTCGCCACTGGAGCACAGATGAGTAGGCAACGCAGTCTGCTTTGGGAGCAGGGAATCACAAAAGGAAACACATAAATTAGATCCTGAAGGAATGTCAAAGAATAATCAAAGTTTTACATTGGCTTTTATACTTGGAAACTTTAGACAACCTAACCATCTCAAGGGAAAACAGCAAACTAAGCTTTTGTTTTAAATTCCAGAAAGCTGCAGGTTTTTATGATATGCGAATAAATAATAAGTGTGAAAACAATTTTTAAAATTCAACTTTTAAATTTATTTACATATAAAATGAATACAATACAGTCACGCATCATTTAACGACAACGATATGTTCTGAGAAATGCATTATTAGGTGATTGTGTCAGTGTGGGAACATCACAGAATCTACTTACAAGTAATAGCCTACTACACACCTATGCTTTGTGGTGTAGCCTATTACTTCCAGGCCACAAACCGGTATAACATGTTACTGTGCTTAATACTGCAGGACATTTAACACAATGGTGACTGTATGTGTATCTAAACGTATGTAAACATAGAGGAAGTACAGTAAAAATATGATATAAAAGATAAAAAATGGTACACCTGTATAGGGCACTGTTAAAAGAAGAGCCTTATACAAATTAAATTTAACAGAGTTTAATTGAGCAAAGAACTAGTCAGCCTCTGGACCAGAATAGGTGTAGAGTATGGTTGATTTATGGACAGAAAAAGGAAAGTGACATAGAGAAAATCGAAGTGAGGTACAGAAACTGCTGATTAGGTTATAACTTTGCATTTGCCTTCTTCCAACACAGTTTGAAGAGTTGGCTGGTGGAAGCCAGATGGGCACAAGAGTAGATTACAGTCTATTTACACATCCAGTTAGGTTACAGTTCATTATGTACAGAGAAACCTTTGGGCGTAACTTTAAGGAAGAAACTTTAGGCTAAACTTAATTTAATAGCACTTAGCATGAATAGAGCTAGCAGGACTGGAAATTGCTCTGGGTGAGTCACTGAGTGAATGAGTGGTGAATGGATGTGATGGCCTAGGATAATTGTGTACATTTTAATAAGACTCGTGGTGCAGTACATTTGTTTATGTCAGCATCACCACAAACACACCAGAATGCATTGTGCTACAACATTACCATGACTATGTCACTAATTTTTCAGCTTCATCATAATCTTAGGGAACTACCCTGGTATATGCAGTTTGTAGTTGACTGAAACATTGTGATGTGAACGATGACTGTATATAAATAATATTATTTATTAACTTTCATTGACTTTTTCTTATGTGTAAAACAGACATAATATGCAAATGTTCTACATCTTAGCAGTGATGCATAGATGAAAATAAGAAATAGAAAAAACGAATGTAACAGCATTTCAAAAAAATACCATCTTATGGAAATTCAAAGTATTATTATGGTAATTATTCCTTTAAATATTTATTATATTATTAACATTCCACTAAGAAAATATTTGTAACATGCTGTAAATATTGAGAGATCTATGACTTAAAAATAAAAATTAAAAGGCAGCAAGTTCCTCGAGGATAAATACTGTCTTATTTGTCTTTGTGTTCTCCATATATTATACCGTGAGTACACTGTAGTTAGCCCTTAGTAAATATTGGTTACAATACGACCAAATCAGATTTATATGAAATATATAAGTGATATAAATAATAAAACATAAAGTATAATATATAGTATAAGATAGCATATCTTATATTCATTACATAATTAGTTTAAATATTTTTATCAATATAAGCAATTACAAAATATTTTATGTAAATAGATTTTCCAAGCTAATATGACTATATGTAATACGTATGTGTATATATATGCATTTATGTATATATGTATTTTATGCATATATGCATGCATTTATACATATGTTTTTATTTTCAGTGCTACATCTCAGGTGGATGCTTTTGAAGAGTATTTTAGACCTTCAACACACTGTACTCTGTTTGACCACAGAGAGGATTGTGATTTATGACACATTTTAAGTGTATTTTAATGAGAAACTGAATGATTGAAAGAAACAGATCAGCCTGCAGCTTTTATTCTCCTTAATGAAAATACAGAAACTTAAAAATACCAGGCTTTTTAATCAACATTAAAACATACATATTGAATTTACATTGTATAATTAGGCATTAAATAAAATTTGCCTGTCTTGTGAAGTCAGAGGCTTAAAAGGCATAGGTTTCTGCATGATAGAAACTTTAGAAATAAGTTTAACACTTTCTACTCACTGACATTTTGAAAAAAAATTCTGATATTCTATTCACTGAAATTATTAAATAAGTCTCTCAAGGTGATATTTTAAAAAATAAATGGCACCTACTTAGTCAAAAAAAATACAGTGAGGGCCCACTGCATGGCTGGCCACTGTGTTAGACATTGTGGGCAGGTCAATTGCAGATAAGTGCAGTTATAGAACATGCACTCATGCAGCTTTTATGATAGGGCAAGAGTGTACTCATCTAAGTCATAAAATTCATCTGGTTAGGTATTTGTCCACATATAGAGGAACATGGTGATGGAAATAATTTAATTCATAATTGATTTAGTCTAAAGCAGTCTGTGAAACATTTAGGCCAATTGTATCTCTTTGAAAGAGGGAAAACAAAATAGGTAACATTACTGAATGCTTACCAATGAAAATATTCCAAAGAATTTGCCTTTGCCTCTCTGAGTGACAAATAATTAACCAGGAATATGCATCAGTCATACTTGTTATTAATACCTGTAGATTGACAGCACTCTGGATACTGCTGACATCACAGAATGAAACCTGTGTTTAGGGGACCTAATCATGTTTGAAATTTAAATTTAACTGTCACTTGATATGCACATCAGGCCATCAAATTAGTGATAGAGGCCTCTAAGAGTTTTTTGTGTTGGATATTCAGCTTTTGTCTCAGTTCCAAATCCCTGCTTTCAGCCTCCACTTCATTGTACCAGGACTGAGATTTTGCAAACCACATTTCTCCTTTGGTAGATCATTCCCTGTTGGATTTTGGCCAAACATATATATCACCAGAGAGAGCCTGGAAGTGAAGAGGAGAGGGAAAGAACTCATTCCTTTTGTGTTTATTAACTGTTCTGACAGCATCATCGTAATGAAAATTATTTACCCCACCAGAAGCAGCTGGCCTATTCTCCAATGTATTTTCTGCTATCTTGGAACCAGCTTCATTGGTGCCATCAGAGACAACAGCAAGGCACTGCCCCCTTCTCCAATGTTAGAACTCCAGATCAGTAGTCCTGCTTTGATTCCTAACACACATGCCCTAGGTAGGTAATGCCTTATTATCAGAAGTCTGAGCCCCCTTCTGGAGGCCCTTTTCTAAGCTTCTCGGTTCTTACATACACCAACCTCTGCTCTTTCATCACAAAACCCTAGAGGCAGTAGCTGCTTCCCATAAATGTCATTTCTATTAGGCCTCTGTTTTACCCTCTGCCTTTCTGTCCTTCAATTACTGCTTAATTTCTTATATTAATTTTTCAGTTAAAATATTTGGCATAGTTTCTAATTTCCTGTCTGTATCTCATCTGCTATGGGTTACCTGTGTATTAGTTAGTAGAATCCAGCAGGCTGTGTTGAAATGAGGGTTAGGATACAGTAGGGCACTTCATTGTGCAGCTGAGGGAATGACTGAGGACTTTTTTTCAAAATTGTAGTAGAGGAAATCTTAATAGATTTCTTTCTGCCTAGAAATCAGTCATTTCCTATATTGCTCAGCAGTGAAAGCAGTTGTACAGGTAATTTTTAGAGCATGAATTGGCTATGAGATTCATATCTAAGATTTTAAATTACCAATTTATCTGAGCAGTACTGAATTGGAAAACAATAATTGCCAGAACTAGAAAAATTTGGCTGATGACATTTCTGCATTTTAATGTGTGAACTGTGGAAATTGAGAAGTCTCTATATCCTTAATACAAGAAGACAATATTGGTCAAACCACATGAGAAAAAAACCAATCAACCATTGAAACAAACCACATGACAAAAGTAGATGCTCTGAAACAGAATCAAACAAGTTTGGGGTAAGAGATTGTTCAATGATTTTAAAAGAGACCTTTAAATAGTTGTCTATGTTAGTTTCACTCATTTATTGCTAGATTTGATTTACAAAGAATTCACTTCTACTTATGGCAGCCACTGTGTAAGGCACTAGATTTACAAAAGTAAACAATCCACAATTCTTTACTTCGAAAAACTAGTCTAAAAAAGATACAGTCTCTGAGCGCGGTGGCTCACGCCTGTAATCCCAGCACTATGGGAGGCCGAGGCGGGCGGATCACGAGGTCAGGAAATCGAGACCATCCTGGCTAACACAGTGAAACCCCGTCTCTACAAAAAATATTAAAAAATTAGCCGGGGGTGGTGGCTGGCGCCTGTAGTCCCAGCTACTTGGGAGGCTGAGGCAGGAGAATGGCATGAACCCGGGATGCGGAGCTTGCAGTGAGCCAAGATCGCGCCACTGCACTCCAGCCTGGGCGACAGAGCGAGACTCAGTCTCAAAACAAACAAACAAACAAACAAAAAGATAAAGTTGCATCCTAAGATTATTGCTCAGTATAAGTGAAGTATTTAAACTATATATATAATGTTCACACATATTGCGGATAAGTTGGTGATTAATTGTGTCTGCTTGGAGAAAAGGTGCTGGTCTTAGAGGAGGTGAAACTCCCAACAGAGTAAATGGAGTCAGTTTAATTAAGTCCCTTTGTTTTGAACCTTAGAACTTCAATGAATTGAAAAAAATAAGTTTGTCAGGTAGACACAGAAAAAAGAGCATACTGGGAAGAGAAAGTTTTAAACATGCTAGGTGTAAAAACTACAAATTATTTTGACATTACTGTAGGATGTGGTGTCCTACAGAGTTAGGAGAAGTGAATCTAGTTTGGAAGTAGATAACCTAAAAAGTTTAAAATTATTATAAAGATGAGAAATCATTGAAGGATGAAAGTACAGGAAGGATGAAAGTATAGGAGTATAGGATGAAATAATCACATATAGGTAACACATATAAGGATGTACAATAACAATAATGGCCTATGGAAAAAAAGATGGGAGACAGAAAAAGAAGTTATATAATTAGTTCAAGAGTCCCTGTGAAAGATGAAGAAAATTGACATTAGGAAGGTATTATCATAGATGGTGAGATGAGGGCAGTTTAGAGAGGTCTTTATGTTCACCCATGAAAATAACTGTGAAAATGAAATCAGAGAAAGACAAGTGTCTTGGAGGCATGACAGTTTTCTGACTTAGATTAATGAGTGTCATCAGCTGAAGTACAGATTTAGTAGAAGATTTTATTTTGGAGAAATGGTATGAGAAAGAAAATTTTAGTATTCAATATGCAGGAACACTGTAAGCACTCGTGAACTATAATTTATGTAGGGGTATGAAGACTTGCAGCTTGGAAAACAGACTAGGGATATACATTTACTTGGATACTAAACTAGGCAACTAAATGGAGATTACTAGGAACACATATAAAGCTAGGCAAGAAGAGGATTGAGGAGACAATTCTAGGGAATCCCATTATTTATTAACTACCCAGAGCACTCATCCAGGCTATGCATCTAGTTATCTTTTAAATACATTTATACAAATCTTAGTTGAAAAAAAAACCTTGATTGAGTAAATTTTGATGTACCTCTGTAAAAAATATTTACATAACATTGAAAAATTTATGTAAAAATAATGTCATAATGTTATGTGTACTCTAAAAGACTGAAAATATAAGTAAAAACAGGTTCCCAAACTACATAAATAGCATTTTGATTAAAATACATAAATATCTATAGAAGAAATGACACCAAGATCAAACAGTACATTGTGATCTTTACACGGTAGGATTTGTGTTGTTTCTTCATTGTATATTTAGCAATTTATGAAAGTATCTTTATTCAGTATATATACATAAAATTTAAAATAATGTTTAATCTCAAAAATGTAAGTGATATGGTTTGGCTGTGTCCTCACTTGAATCTCATCTTGAATTGTAGTTTACATAACTCCCGCATGTTTTGCGAGGGGCCCGGTGGGAGATAATTGAATCATGGGGGCTGTTTCCCTCACACTGTTCTCATGGTAGTGAATAAGTCTCATGAGAGCTGATGGTTTTATAAGGGGTTTCCCCTTTCACTTGGCTCTCATTCTCTTTTCACCTGCTGCCATGTAAGACATACCTTTGCTTCTCCTTTGCCTACAGCTGTGATTGTGAGACCTCCCAAGCCATGTGGAACTCTGAGTCCTTTAAACCTCTTTCCTTTATAAATGATCCAGTCTTTGGAATGTCTTCATTGCAGTGTGAAAACAGACTAATACAGTAAGTATTTTTAAAACTTTACCTCAAATATTGCTGTTTAGATTTCCTAAAACCGTAACTCAAATAGCACTGGCAGCCAAGCCTTTGATGTCTGTAGAAGGTAGATAATATAAGAACATAACCATTTTTATGACCTTCACTTGTATCACTCAAGTCTAAGCCAACAGTATATCTGTCCTGGTCTTTTGCCACCACTGTCTAACTAGTCTCTTTTTCTGTACTGTTAATGTTTAGAATTTTATTTTCTACACAGTAAAGCGTTATTTTAAAATTATAATTCAGGTTATGTTACTCCTTAGTATAAAATCTTAAGTCCTTATCTTGCTTTTAAAATAATTCTTTTTAGGCCGGGCGTGGTGGCTCACACCTCTAATCCCAGCACTTTGGGAGGCAGAGGTGGGCCGGTCACCTGAGGTTGGGAGTTTGAGACCAGCCTGACCAACATGGAGAAACCCCGTCTCTACTAAAAATACAAAAAATTAGTTGTGTGGTGGCTCATGCCTGTAATCCCAGCTACTCGGGAGGCTGAGGCAGGAGAATTGCTTGAACCTGGGAGGCAGAGGTTGTGGTGAGCAGAGATCATGCCATTGCACTCCAGCCTGGGCAATAAGAACGAAACTCTGTTTCAAAATAAATAAATAAATAAATAAAATAAAAAATAAAATAATAATTATTATTTCTATAATTTGGCCATCAATCTCCTCTCTGAAATTGACCCACACAACTGTCTCCCACTTTGAGTCTCTTCCATGGACATTAGTTACCTTCCTGGTCTGTGAATATTCTAAGCCCACTTTTATCCAGGTCCTTTGCTCTTAAAGCTGTTTTCTTTTTTTTTTTTTTTTTCCTTGAAATGTTCTTCTCCTATATATCTGCTAGTACTTGCAGCAGATCCCTCAATTTATTTAAATTTCAGTATGGTACCACCTCCTCACAGATTACTTCCCTGACAGTCTCATGTTAAATGTTAGTTCCTTCCATTCTGTATCTATCATGTTTGCTTTACCTTTATTACCTTTACCAGCTGGGATATTATGTATAAATAAATGTATATGTGTTTGCATTTGTTGCTTCTCTCCCTAACAGAATGTGAACTATGAGAGACAGACCTTTTCTGTCTGGTTCACTGTTGAATTATCAATCCTAGTAAAACAGGCTCTCTAATAAATATTTGCTGATCAAGTAAACGTGCCTATAGAAATACCTAAAGAAGACATAGTCCTTCTTGTTTATATAAGTACTTGATATTTTAAAAAATGCTAAGAAATTCAAAATAGAAATTGCTATAAATGCCAAATTAAAAAGGATAGTTACCTACATACAAGTTGTCTGTGAATCTGCAAAGGAACTACCCTCAGGCATTTGTTTCCCACATCCCTGAAGACTTAGATTCACAAAGTCTATGTTGGGTAGATTTGTTTTGTTATGCTATTTTGTTGTGTGTGTGTGCTTTTAATGTTCCACAGGTGAAATAGTGGTGGTTCATCTTAGACACTCTTCATGGGATAATACTTTCTAGCATAAAATAACACCTTTTTTCATCTTTTTTTAATTTATTTTTTATTTTTTTACTTTAGTAATTAATTCTAGCATTTTGGGAAGACAATTAATGTGCAAATATATGCAATTAACTTTGAATTATAAGTACCATTATAGATATGGGACTTCATAAAGTATTTATAACCATGAACTCTAGTATCATGTTGGAGAAATGTTTCTGAAGATTTAACATCATGTGCGTTGATTTTCATTTCATATTCATGGAAATTCATGACACAGCATAATGATAGCATCTAACAATGAATTTTAATGAATAATTAGAAATATGAATTCACAAACATTCATTAAAAATTCATGACTATGTAGAGTGTTATGAAAAGCTGCAACTGTCCAGGATTAACAGCACATTTTTTTTTTTTTCATATTTTGATTATCTGACCACTTCTAAAGTTATCTTATTCACATAACACAAAAAATTTGTTAAGATTATGTGCAAGTTGCTTAAGATAAATTTCAAAACCACCACATTAAATCCAAAGTATATTTTATGTGACAAAATATCAACATATACAAAATCTACTTCATAAGTAAAGTATTTGAGTAGGATAGGGAAATATAAACACATACTTCTGTTAGTTATTTCATGTGAAAGAAAAATTCATAACACTGGACTATAATCTATGGTAAACAGGGTTCAGATATGGGACAACTTAACCTCTGAAATGGTTTATCTTGCTTTTGTTTCTCATGAATGGAGACACACTATAGAGTGAGGTGTCCACTTTCTAGGTAATGAGATAATACTGATAAATCCCTATTAAGACAGAAAAAGGTGGGATTTCACAACGCAAGAATTGGACTTGTAGACAACCAATACCAAATTTTGAATGACTTGACATTAGAGAGCAGGTGGGGCTATTTGGGTTGGGGTTCAGTGCTTGACCTCCATAGCCTTTTATTCATAATAGCCTGAAAAGATAGAAAATCCCATGACCCTTCATTGCTTTATGTCTGAATTCCCATAACTAAAAATCTCAGAAAGAGACTGAAAATCTAACAAAGAATAATTGGTTAGAAAATAGGTGAAAGAATACTTTCTATAGTCTCCTTGTGTTTAGTCAGGGTTAAGAACAGGAAAAAGTCTAATCAGGATTTAGGTTTGTTACTGGTTTTTAAGAGATAGTCTATATTGCTTTTGTTAAGCAAAGCAAAGTATTCAAACTTGTGTACAAGGCAAGAGGATGGACTAAATGTTTTTTCAATATCACTGTAGAGCATTATATAACAAGTCCATGCAGGGAATATTTAATTATCTGAGAAAAGCACTCGTTTATTGGACTTATTATTTACTATTGATAAGAGCCTAGATTCTGTGATGTTACACTTTTACTTGTCTATTTTTCTCCCAATAAAAATTAAATTAAAATGATTTCTGTTTGGCAGACAATATACCTCCAGAGCTTTCAGTTTTGTCATGCTACAGGATATTAACAGTTTTGTCTCCAATTTAGCAGACTTATTATAGCATGCCTTTTCTGACTATAAATCTCTCTTTCTCAAATCCTCTTTCAACCATATTTACTATCCTGCTGATTTTCTCATTAAATAAATCTTTAACACATATTCATTATATATGTATATATCATACTTTGACTCTACCATAGTGGTGAAAGGAAGATACTATCCAAGTAGCATGGAGATTCTCTAGGTTTCTGCTATAAATGAGGATGTGAACTAATTGCTGCATGTTCAACTTTCTCTTTGTTTGAAGATACACTCCCATCTAGATTTTCCTACTGTTATTAACTAAATGTTTGCGTTCACATCCCCAATTCTTATGTTGAAATCTAATCACCAATGTGATGGTATTTGGGGCCTTTGGGAGGTAATTAGTTCATGAGGGTGTGATAATGGAGCCCTCATGAGTGAGAATAGCACACTCAGAAAAGAGACCCCAATGAGTGCTCTAGCTCTCTTTCCACAATGGGAAGACACAATTACAAGTTGGCAATCTCAAACCTAGGAGAGAGCTCTCCCTAGCTCTGCCTAGAATGTGACCACACTGGAACCCTGATCTCAGACTTCCAATCTATGGAGTGTGAGAAATAAATTTCTGTTGGTTGTAAGCCACCAAGTCTATGATACTTTTTTTTTGTTCCAGCAGCTTAACCTGACTAATCTACCTGTCTATACAGTTTGGCTTCCAATGCCTTTATCTAAAAACAAAAAACAAACAAACAAACAAAAAACCTTGCAAAGCGCTTCAACTTTCCTATTCCTTTGTTCTTTCAGCACTGAAATTAAACTGGAATCCTAGATGAACCTAACCATCTGCCCTTTTCATATCTGTAGATGTAGCTGCATTCTGCCCTATATCATAAGGGTAATTGGTAGAGTAACACCAATACACACACAGGGCTACCTAGACATGGATAAAAATCCTTTTATGCTTATTCAATCTGCTCCCTATATACACATAATCTTGTCTCTTAGTTCTCAGAGAAAGTAGAAGCAAAGAGATAGGAATGTTCACTACTTCTTGATATACAAACATATAAATGTATAAATCTGCCTGAGCTGGCTTGAAATTTTATCCATCCTATTGGTTAATGTTCAGTGACAAGAAAATACTTAATAATAAGTTTTGATGAAATATATAGTTAACAATATGTAATGAGAAATGTATATGTTTAATAGTAAAAGTAGGATATAAAATATATAGTAGTAGTTGATTTTTTAAAAAACAAGTTATGTAGGAATATTAAGTAAGAAATGAGATTGAAGTACAAAAAATGCGTTAGAAGGGTATTCTATCTGCTGTGGGGGTTTTATTATTTTAATTTTCTTCTTTTTATTTCATGCACTTCAAGTTCTAGTTCTCTGGATTTCTCAAAAGGTAAATGTTGGGGCTCCCCGTTCAATTCATGATTTGCTTTCTTAAAAGGATGTTATTATCCTTCTGCATACTATTGGTTCTATGTGAAATATTTCATTTCCTCAGGCTAAACCTATTTTTTTTCAGTTCAATATGTTTGTGTGTGTATGTGTTGTTCTGTTATTTCATTTTGGTTTTTGTTTCATGTTTACTGAAAGATGAAAAATTTTTACTGATCTTTCCACATAGCAGTTTCTAACCTAGTGATGAAATTGATTTCTAATAAGAAACAAGCTTCTTTCCGAGGGATATTAAGCTGAGTGCATGTCAAAATTTTCTCTTCTGTCAAGTATCTTAACTCAATGATCCTATGACATACAAATTTTGTTCAAATTCACATAATAGATAATTCAGACTGCCAACTGGGAGAAGTTTACCTTTACATTCAAGCTAACTTTCTCCCAAAGAATCATTCTTACCTAGTTACCTCTGAATTTAACATATAATTTGATATTAGGGGCAAATGTTACATAAATATACTAATTTATGAATACTCCTCTGTATTCTATACTGGGCACGAGAAAGATTTTTACAAAGCAAAATAAAATTAGTAGGTATGGTTTTAAATTATTCACATGCATGAGTTAATAGATTTCATAGCAACTTATCTTTCTAGTGTGCCTATTTGAACATTAGTTATACAAAGAGCACTTGGCAGGGTTTTTTATTTTAGAGCATGATGTTTAAACACTAGCAATAAATATTTTAGTAGCTAATGAATGCTTCAAAAAATCAAAGCATTCATTTCAGTCTGAAATATAACTACTCTTTCTAACGTCTTCATTTAAATAATGCCACATAACAAGAA
This sequence comes from Homo sapiens, assembly GCF_000001405.40. NCBI lineage: Eukaryota > Metazoa > Chordata > Mammalia > Primates > Hominidae > Homo > Homo sapiens. Next base: position 70,182,012 of record NC_000013.11, read on the forward strand.
ATAAGACTAAATGGTTTAACAATATTTTAAAACCACTGGAATTAATGGAGTAGAAACAATATAAGAAGAAGAAAATGGTTTGGAGAGGCAGCAAAAGAAAAATCCCCAGGCTTCTAGAGATTATCGTGAATTGGGAAGCTATTGAATTTAAATAATATATTCCTTTGCATGTACTGAATTTAAGGATGTGTTACAAAATAGAATTTTAAAATAATAGCAAATTTTATAAAATGAGATCCATGAAATTTTCAGATGCTTGATTTCTATTTGGAATTCCATATACTTTGAAATTCTTTTCCTCTTGAGATTAAAAGGAGACAAAAGAGTGAACTTTTATTAGTTGATTCAGCCAGCCTATATTAAACAGCTTATATGTGTATGCGGTTACATATTCCAAAGACTTCCTGTACAGTAATACAGAAAAAGCACGATAATGTATTTAAAATGCCAAATACCCTTTTGAAAAAAGAAAAATCATTTCATAATCTAGAAATAAGAACTTTACTAGGACATTTTTTAAATTATTGGATGAGTCCAGATATAATTACCTGATTAGGTAAAAATTGCATGATGTTAATTCAGCAAGCTCATAATCGTAAATTCAAAGTCATAATTTATATATATATTGATTATTATGCTACATTCAAAATCAGAGCACTACCCTACAACAGACAAAATAAATGTAACCTTTATAGGTTTATTATTTCATGTGTAAGCTTTATGCAATCCATCTTTAATGTATCCAAAAAGTTAGATTGTTAGAATTATCAATATTTTTTAATAAACCTTTTAAGTTTAAAATACATTTAGATTTACAGAAAGCTGCAAAATAGTACAGAGAGCTTCAATATACACTTCAACTAGTTTCTACTAATGTTAAAATAATCAGGGTGCATTTATCAAAATCAAGAAGTTTTCACTGACACATGACTATTAAGTAAACTCCAGATTTTATTTGGATTTTACTAGTTCTTATATTATATTAATGTCCTTTTTATGGTTCAGGATCCCATCCTGGATTCTTGCTGTGTCTCGGTTTTATTTATCTCCTTATTCTCCTCTGGTTTGTGACAATTGCTCAGTATTTGTTTTTCACTGGCTTAACAGTTTTGAAGAGTGCTGGTCAGGCATTTTGTAAAATGGCTCCCATTTGGGGTTTGGTTAGATGTTTTCCTCATGACTGGAAATGGGTTATTAGTCTGGGGAAAGAACACTACAGAGGGCAAATGCCCTTCTCATCACATCATGTCAGAGGTATGTGATATCCACATGACATTCTTGGTGACGTTAACTTTGATCACTTGGTTAAGGTTATGTGTTTCAGGCTTCCTTTTAAAGTTGCCAATTTTCACTTTTCATACTTTATTGTTTGGAAGTGAACTATAGTCCAGTTCACACTTCACAGGAGAGAAAATTAAGCTCTCTCTCTTGGAGCTTGGAGTATCTAGAGATATTTAGAAGTTTTCTGACAGTAAGAAGCCTGGTTGTCATTATCTAACATTAATTTCTTAACTGTAAACCTGTGTATCTTTGTAAATAGGTATTTTTAAAATTGTTATCGTATATGTCTATAAATTTACCAAGTACAGTACCAAATTTATGCGCAATGTTCTTTTTGTTGTGAACAATGTTTTCAGTTGAAATAATACTAAGAATATTACTAATAGTATTAGGCATCTACTTACTGATTATTACATAATAACCACCTTGTTCAATTCTGAGAATACAAAAATGTAAAATATAATTGGACTAATTACATGGATTATGTAATTTGTGTTCAAAACAACATGAATAGTAAATATTTTCATAATTGTGGTTATTAGACACATTTTACAGACAAACCATATGGGGCACAGAGAGGTTAAGCAACTTGTCCACCATCACAGAAATAATACATTGTGGAATCAGAATTCAACTAGGTTTTTATAAATAAAAAATCACCTTTTATCAGCCTAACCCAAAGACTATCTTTGAAATGTTATATTTCATATCTTCACAAATTATTGAATAATTTTTGTGTCCACCACACTTAGAACAATGGTAGAGGACACAGTAGTTAAGATAGTGGTTAAAGAAAAAATTAATAAAATAAAATAATTAAAACTCCATCTAGTGTTTTTTTTTTTGGCTCTGGGCTTAGGAAATTTGTAAACTTGCACATTTTAATATCTACCTTAATTTTATCATCTGGAAATAGCATTAATAAGAGTATTTATTTTATAAGGCACATAGAACAATACCATAAATGTGGGAGCACGTAATAAGCTTCACCTCTTAACATTAGTATTTGTTAACAATTATTTGATATTATAAAAGTGAAGTGTGGGTAATATTCTGATAGTGTAGTTTTAAATATTATTACTAAGCGATTATCTGGATATTATCAAAATAAGATAGAAATCTAGAAAAAAAGCTTATTTCTCTTTTACATTTCATCCTTAAAAGAAAATAATATTTTTCCAGTTAAAACATGAAAGTTTCCCTTTCAAAAATTTTCACTTTTTGAAGACACAGTATTCATGAGGTTCACAACCTAATACCTACATTGAAAGATGAAAGGTAGAAAGGTACCTTGTTAAAGGTAAGCATATTATTGATTTTTATGAATGTTGTTGCAATTGGTTAATTATAATTTATGTACTTTCTACAAGTTTCATACAATATTGGAGAGCAGAGAATATTGATGCATATAGAACTGTCTTTTTTTGAAATATTAAACTTTCTTTTGAGTTTAATTCACATTGGAATCATTTAACACATAGAATCCTTGTTAAACTTATAAAGAGCTATAATTTAAATACAAATTACTAATACATACATACAACTGAAAAATTAAGTTCAAGAGTCTGTGATATGCAAGCAGGAGACATTCCATTTAGTATAGTCCTAATATTATTAAACCTAGAAATCATATTTTAAGATAATAATACTGTAATATATTTCACATCTTATAGGAGATGTTTCAGTGATGTTCATGTACATAACAAAATATTTGTATATAAAGTAAATATAAGCTTGCAAGTGTTACTGTGAAATCCATTACACATATTGAAAAATATAATGATATCTAAACTGATCTAAAGTATTTTCTAAGTATGTCTTAGAAAATAGGTACCTGGAAAAACATATCTCAAACGTTAACTTAAAATTAAAAAATGATGTCGCATTCCAGATACCTTTATCTTCAGGTCTTCACTTGTTTTTAAAGGGTGTGATGATTTTTTGGAATCTGTAATATAGTCATGCCTAGGCACACTTGAGAATCTGCTCTTTACTTAGGATTGGATTCTTATACTGTGAATTAGCTAAGTTGCTGAAGATGCAGTTCTTTTGTACCTCATTAATTTTAAGTAGATTTTGTTCAATTGTGGAAGATAGTCATAGTACAGAGGTTACAAATAACACTGGTGATCAAGTTAAACTGTAGACAGTCAAGCCTCCCATTCCCAGGATTTTACCAATCATGTTCCCCTTCAGTCAAAGTCAATTACCTGTCAGTTTAAAGAACTATTTGCTCAATTCCCACCTAAGGGTGACAACACGCGGTGTTTGGTTTTTTGTCCTTGCGATAGTTTGCTGAGAATGATGGTTTCCAGTTTCATCCATGTCCCTACAAAGGACATGAACTCATTATTTTTTATGGCTGCATAGTATTCCGTGGTGTATATGTCCCACATTTTCTTAATCCAGGCTATCGTTGTTGGACATTTAGATTGTTAGGGGAACATCACACACCCGGGACTGTTGTGGGGTGGGAGGAGCGGGGAGGGATAGCATTAGGAGATATACCTAATGCTAAATGACGAGTTAATGGGTGCAGCACACCAACATGGCACATGTATGCATATGTAACAAACCTGCACATTGTGCACATGTACCCGAAAACTTAAAGTATAATAATAATAAAATAAAAAAAGAACTATTTGCAAAGACTTCTGTGTTCCAATTGAATACACATTCTTATGATCAATGTAGAAAAACATTTATTCCCATAATATATAGATTTTTTAAAGTCTTCCCCTGTATTTTTTTCTCAGACAACTTTCCTAGTGTACCCCTGGAGTTGATGCAAAAATGCACGATATTTTTTAAGCCTTCAATTTTATTTATTTATCTTAAAAATACAATTCTGGGAGTAAAATGAGTTACGAGTTGAACCAGACAGAGGTATTTTATGCCTTTTCCAGTGCTTTAGCCTATGCTATCTTCTAGAAAGGGAGAATAGATAGGCAATTTAATTCTAATTTATATCTCTGCCTCTAGCTTCACTCTGATATATTTTCCAATATTTTACATTAATTCAAATGTGTTTCTTCTAAGATAATAAATTTGAAAAAAATATAGGTAGTACCATGTCATGTCACAATTAAAATAATTTCTTGTCAACCATGAATAAGCTTACATGAAGCCATTACAGAAATTCTGACAGCGTCCATAATGAAGTCTATGGGCAAATATAAATCTTTTGCTCATATACTCACTCAGAATTTAAGATGCTGATTTTAAAAATAAACAACTTCTAAAATTTTTTATTCCTGAATATTTTTCTTTCAGTAGCCTAGACCAATGACTACTAACTTTAGGCTTTCTAAATTACAGTATAGGGCTAAGATATATTTTCTATACATTTTTCACGCTTGTTTGCTTGACAGCAAGTTAAATTACTGCTAAACCTTGAGGTAGTGTTTTATATGTTTTCTACTGTGTTTTCAGCACAAAGAGTAATGCAGTGAGCATAGAATATATTTTATATTTAATACATTTTTGATGGAAAGCATATAATCAGGAATAAATATCAACAAATTATAAAACATTAGTTTCAAATTCAGAAGAGTGTAATCAAAATATGCACAATTCTCAATTTGATACAAATAAATATAGATTTTCCTTATTCATATTCAGACTTATTCATGGGTACTCAACTGACAGACTTATTCCTAAAGATTTCTTTTAAAGTCTATTTTTGTTAAGGGATAAATAGTTTTTAATAGAAATGCAAAAATAATTTTGCTGGTTGGTTTCCCAGGCTATAGTTTAGGTCAGAAAAGTTAATAGGTTTTTGTGACCAGGGATAATATTCTGTCATTTGCTCATCGTGGTTTTTGTGGGTATTCAGATTTTGAAAGTACACAGCTCCAATTTTTTTTCCTCTCCTCTGCCCAAAATTCTGTGCACCATGGCTTCAGTCCCACAGTAACCCTATGAAATAGCAAGTACACACACACACTTGCTTTCCTAGGATACTGCAGCTAGGATTGGACTTAGGACATTCCTTTACTAAATGTATTAAACTGGATTCTTCAAAGAAACAGAAGCAACAGTGTGTGTGTGGAGAGGGAAAAAGATTGATTATAGGAAACTGGCTCAGATGATTATGAAGGCTTAGTGCGTCTAAGATCTTCAGGGTAGGCTGGCAGGGTGGAAATTTAGAGAAAGTTTACTGCTCAGGTCTAAGGGCAGTCTGCTGGTGGAATTCTTCTTGCTCAGGAAGGTCAGTATTTTTCTAAGGCCTTCAACTGTTTGGATGAGGCTCACATCATGGAGGGTAATCTGCTTTACTCAAAGTCCACCGATTTAAATCTTAATCTCAACCAAAGAAAACACCCTGATAGAAACATCCAGAATAACATTTGACCATGGGCACCATGGCCCCGCGAAGTTGATTCATAAAATTAATCATCACACTTACCACTATTTAAAGCTGGAATTTGGTAATGCTTATACCTATGATGTGGAGCATACCTACAGACAGCGACCAAGAGATCTATTAGTTGATCTTGATTAACCAAGTTAGAATTAGATAATTTTAAAAATCCATTTTAATGCTAACACTGTGAGAACCCTAATTTCCTCTTTTGAATAAATTTTTCCATGAGAGAAATGAGAGCCTGCATAATGAAGTAAGGATTGAAAATGCATTTAAAGAGTAGGACAACAACCTTGCTGTAAAATATTGCTGCAATAATTGTTAACAAGGCTTACCTTAAAAAGACATAAAAATTGTGTGTATGTGTCTGTATATATGTGATTTACAGTAATATGATATTTATAAGTTATAAATACCTTAACCATTACTATAACAAATTGTTCTCCATTAACTGATAATAATCTTAACAAATGGTAGAAAGTTCATCAATTGTTCCATTTTAGTGATAGCATTATTATTTTGAAAAACAAAATAATGGCGTTACAAGGGATAAAGAATACTAAATATAAGGTATTCACATAGGATACTAAAATTCTATTTTCTCTGGAGTACTATCCTCCAGTTCAAGTTTTGATTTTATTATCTAATGTTATAATCTGACTATACATACACATACAGTTTTCCTCTGCAATATTCACATTCCCAAGATAGCATTTGACTTCAAAAATGAGATCTGAACATGAATATATAAATACAATATCAGTGAAGGCATGGAGTTTTATGGATAAATATGAATTAACTATACTATACAATTTTTAAATGTATTTAAGTTGAATATAGATAAGATTAATCTAGGCAAAATTGAGAAGTAATAAAATATTTTAATAGTTATTTTAATCATTCTTTTGTGTTTCTTTCCCTTCTTCACTCCTAGTTTTGGAGACCTACAAAAAATCATTTTCTAAGTAAAGCTTCTTTGGAGGATAAGATTCCTAAGCAAAATCATGAACTGTGAATTGGAAGTCAGCCAGGTGCAGATGGAGAGAAGGCATTGAAGCCTAAGGAGCAGCATGTGCAAAGGCACAGAGGTGTGAGAAAGAATGACCTCACCAGGAAAGTGCCATTAGTCATGCTGTCACTGCTTGCAAGTTAAGAAATTGGCTGTGTTTTCATGGGCGAGTTAATGATTATATAAAATTATCGAAGAAGACAACCACAGAAGTATATCCTGAGAGTTGAAATTCTACCAGTACTAGTTCTTCTGCTGCAGTTATTGTTATTTTGTTTAGGGATACATAATTTTAAAGCAGTGTATGTATGTGTGTGTGTGTGCGCGTATATATAGGTACATATACATGTACCTATATACACACACACACACACACACATACATATGTATATATACACATACACACATGCATATATCTATATCTATATCTATATATATATCTCCACAAGTTTGTGGTGGATGTGTTTCTAAACTCATATTTCAAGCCAGTCAAAAAATAATGAATTTCTCTGTTTTCTTTGAAACAAAACAAATAGTAGGATATTCATCTGACAATTCTACAAGTCTTGTATCCTACCTCCAGTCTAGTTGTCAAAAGTTCTGGAAATCTAATCATTCATTTATTGACTAAATAGACATTTATCTAATGTCTACCAGAAGCAATGGTGGAGAGTATTTTCTTATTGTGCAGATTAAGTCAAGGCCCTAACCTAGAGGGTGACTTGAGGGCTTTGAAGCATTTGGGATTGAGTTTACCAATAGCTTATAGAAACAATAGTGATAAACAAGATTTGAACGTGATATGAACAAGTCTTTAGGCATTCCAATGTTTACTTGCAAAGAGAAAAACTGATAAATAATAATAGCTAACATTTTCACAGCATTACTGTGAAATGTGCTAAGCACTAGTCTAGTAACTTTACATGTACTAATTTGTTTAACCTTCACAGTTATTTTCTGAGAGAGTTATTGTTATTATGTCCAATTTTTAGTTGAAGCGGATAAAGTACAGATTAGTAATATAAGTATTTTTTAATATGCTGACTAATGGACAAGTTAAGTATTCAATCAAACCTGGCAGTATGATTCAAGAGTATGTATTTTTTTCACTACTGTCCTATGCTATTGGAAGGAGAGAGTGCTTAAGATTCACAGCCTGCTAGTGATAAGAGAAAAATATTCACTGAAACTAATATCTGGTCTTGTACTCTCAGCTTGACTATGGTGTTCATCTGTTAAACATAGCATTTCACAAAATATTAACATCAGATAATATCACTATGTGACCAGGATGAATTCAAACAAAACAAGGCCACTCCATAATCCTGTCCAAACAGATAAAGCATCAGCAATATCTAAGCAACAAAAATAACCCAATTTCATCGACCATGGCTAATTGGAGCAACTGTTGCCTCTTTACTAAATATGGCACTGCCTTTGTCCAACCTCCTCCTAGATAAGGTTGATAAAGAATCAAATACCCTTGCTTCTTCAAAGCATCTAATTACAGCAAAGTGTAACTTCTCTAATTCATTGTAACATGATCTAAATAAGCCCAAGTCCTATAATCCATCTCTTTCAACAGCCTCTTTTTGAGGCATCCAGTGGCGTGCCTTCTCCCTTTTGCCACAAACAATTAACCTAACTCATTCAACCACACATGTATTCCTGATGGTCTCTGTCTGGAGTAACTAAATTGTCATCCTAGAATTGGAAATGGAGTTCATTGTGATACTAAGTAGTGACGTGGAATGAAGTGACTACACACACGCACACACAAAAAAGATAAAAAAGAATAAATAAATAAATAAAGAAGGACAAATGTAAAGATGAGAGAGGGATAAGAAAGAGAGAGAGAAAGAGAGAATAATTCCTCAGGCTGCATTTAGTGCTAGGGGATGGAGGGCAATTATTTTGTTAATTATACACTTTTTAACCATTGCTTCTCAAACCTTAGTATCCATAACTACATGTTATATGACCTGACTCTAAGGCAGGTGTTTTTCAGTGACCTATTTTAACATTTCTCCCTCATTGGAGAGACAATGATACTCCACCAACACAGAAATATATCATATTTCTGGGTAAGAAGTCTTTTCTGGAGTCAACAGAGTGTCACACAAACACAATCAACTCCACAAATACATGAAATAAGCCTTAATCAGTAAAATTCAGATACTAAATAAAACCCATTCCGAAAATATATATCTGTCATATATTGTATGGAAAAAATCAGAATTGGCTTAAATAATGCAAAAATTTAGAATCTCCCTTTCAAGTTGTATATGCCTATTTCTCAGTGAAATTATGTTGAAATATTTCAGTTATAGTTCAGGGTTAAAGCATAAAAAGCTAATCAGTATTAATGTATGCATAGAGCATATTTATATTATTACTTTCACATTAATAATTATGTCATATTGTGAGGCTGGAAAGGATATGTCCAAAAGTTCACAGTTGCCCATTTTTCTCCTTAAGAAAACACTGTTAATAAATACACAGCTCTTGCTCAAGAGAAAGGACTTTAAAGATCCTTTGCTAACCTAGTTTTCTCCAGTGATAAGATCACCAGGTCAGTTCATTGTCATCTCAAATAAAAGTCAAACTGAAACATCTGATGTAATTAGATCCACTGTAATTTTCATCAAGAATTGTTTTTAGTAAATCTTTCTTCAACATATTTATTTTAAGAGGTGAAATGTACAGTGTATTGCCCTTTGCTCCTCCAGTTCAATACATAGGAGAAAGCAAATTGAACTGATCTGAAAATTTATGAATAACTTACTGATGTTACCCAACTCAACATAAAACACTCCAATTATATTTTAGCCTTTGAATGTACAGTCTACAAGCAACAGCCCACCTGAGCTGATAAACAAAGCAAACGGGGCACCAGCAATTCCTTCCTCCATAATATTTGAGAGAAACAAATTCCACAGAAAGCAAATCAGACCCTTCTCTACTGATTTCATGTAGAGATTTAATGCAAAATGAGAAATATATCTTTGTTCTTCTAACACTCAATTCAATGACTCTTCTGCCGTGTGTGTGTGTGTGTGTGTGTGTGTGTGTGTGTGTACACACACGCATATAGGGATTCATGCATATATTTTGGTTGGATTTTTAAACAAAGTAATTTAATATGACTAAGCTATATATGATTATATGTTTTCTATGGAATATAATGCATACTAAAACATAGATTTGCAAATAAGTCATCAATTACATCCATTTAATAATTAAGAATCCTCTCAGGTAGACCTAGAAACATAGATTCAATTATAACACCATCTATAATGACAGGAAACATCAGGTATTATCTGGAATTTAGTCTTTGGGCAATGATGTACTCTGGATAAATGAAAAAGTGGGGTTGCACAAATGTGGGCATTTAATTGGGAAAAGGAGAACAATAAGATTTGACATACATTTTTATTTTACCTAACGTACATCTTCTCTTGCTTTATGATCAGTGTGATACCAAAAAAATGCATTATCAATGACATTTAAATACAGGTTGGGTTTCTTTGCATTTCAGCAAAGATGGTATAAAATTTAAATTTAATATCAAGCTGGATTTTATAGAAAACTATAGAGAAGTCGGTTGACAGTCTACTTTATTTCTTTTAAAAGTACATACATTACTTTTCTCTGATTGATGTAAGAATTTTTTCTCATATCTGCTTTTTTCTCATTAATATTGATTGACAAATTATAATTGTATACATTTATGAGATGCAACATATTTTCATATATGTATACTATATTGCATGATTAAATCAAGCTAATTATTATATTCATCACCTCACTTACCTTTCATTTTTTATGGTGAGACATTTGAAATGTATTCTCTTAGTTATTTTTTACATTATTATTAACTATGGTCACCCTGCTGTGCCATGTATCTCTAAAACCATTTCTCCTATCTGGAACTGTGTACCCGTTGATCATCAACTCCCTATTCCCTCCCAAATCTAGCTTTAAGTGTTCTTTATGAACTTAACGAATTCATTGTGTACTTCACAATGTTAAAAGATTTTATATGTTCTTTACATATATTTATCCTACAAAAAATAAACAGAATCTTTCCAATTACGTAGGTTGAAGTCTTCGACCAGTTTGGAAATGCTCAGCAAATATCATTTCAAATATTTCTTTTGATCTATTCTTTTCTCTCATCTGTGACTACATTATCTGAGATTACAAATTCATATTTTTATTGTTTGTTATATATTTTATGTTCTTGCTTAGTTTCTTCTATTCTTTCCTGTCTACATGCTTAAGTTTTTATATCCTCTGAAAACCTGTTCTTCAAAGTCACTAGTCATGTCTGTTATTCTTCTGACTTTATTAAAACTAATGAGTTCTTAATTTTGCATATCAAGTTTTATAATATATAATTTCCATTTGAGTTTTAATAGATTCAGTTATCTCATTGGTCTCCACATACTGTCATCTATTTTCCCACCTTTTAATTGTTTTCTAATACAAGTTTGTTATAGTTATGTTATAGTCTCTTTCATGTAACTCCAAAAGCTGAATCAACTGTAGTTTTTTCTCTCTCTCTATTATTCTCTCTTTGCCTCTTACATTTAGGCCATGTCGATTTATTTCCTTGGTACACCTAATATATGTTTCTAATATTTAATACTGAAAATTGTGTCTTAAAATCTTGTAGGTTCCCAATGCTATCATCTTTCTCCAGTGAGGGTTGATCTATCTCTCTGCTAGGCAGAGATTGTAATGGCTGCTCACCTTGATCAGGACTGAGCTGACTCAAGAGTGAGGTGTAGCTCTGGTGAATTTCAGCATACCTCTGGTGACTGCATGACCGTCTATGGCTTTCAAATGAGAATCTGTTGTATACCCCACAGCCTATCCTGCTAATATTTGTCTTAAGAGGTAACTCTGATTTTCAGATAATTTCCATCTTTGAAAAAAAAAAAACTAGAATACAGAGGAACTACGTGTTCTATGACAGAATTGAAGTAAATATATAACAAGAGTAAACTATTTTTGATAAAGAAGAAATAAAGGGCCGTGCAGGCAAGCATAGATAATTTATTTTCTGAAAACCTGAACTAAAAAATAGTTATTATTATTATTATTATTATACTGTAAGTTCTGGGATACATGTGCAGAATGTGCAGGTTTGTTACATAGATAGGCATTTGCCATGGTGGTTTGCTGCACCCATCAACCTGTCATCTCCATTAGGTACATCTCCTAATGCTATCCCTCCTTTTGCCCCCCATACCCCCAACAGGCCCCAATGTGTATGATGTTCCCCTCCCTGTGTCCATATGTTCTCATTGTTCAACTCCAACTTATGAGTGAGAACATGAGGTGTTTGGTTTTCTGTCCCTATGTTAGTTTGCTGAGAATGATGGCTTCCAGCTTCATCCATGTTGCTGCAAAGGAGATGAACTCATTCTTTTTTATGGCTGCATAGTATTCCATGGTGTATATGTGCCACATTTTCTTTATCCAGTCTATCATTGATGGGCATTTGAGTTGGTTCCAAGTTTTTGCTACTGTGAACAGTGCTGCAATAAACACACATGTGCATGTGTCTTTATAGTAGAATGATTTATAACCCTTTGGGTGTATACCCAGTAATGGGGTTACTGGGTCAAATCGTATTTCTGGTTATAGATCCTTGAGGAATCGCCACACTGTCTTCCACAATGGTTGAACTAATTTATACTCCCACCAACACTGTAAAAGTGTTCCTATTTCTCCACATCCTGTCCAGCATCTGTTGTTTCCTGACTTTTTAATGATCACCATTCTAACTGGTGTGAGATGGTATCTTATGGTGGTTTTGATTTGCATTTCTCTAATGACCAGTGATGATAAGCTTTTTTTCATATTTTTTTGCCACATAAATGTCTTATTTTGAGAAAACTGTCTGTTCGCATCCTTCCCCCACTTTTTGATGGGGTTGTTTTTTTCTTGTAAATTTGTTTAAGTTCCTTGTAGATTCTGGATATTAGCCCTTTGTCAGATGGGTAGATTGCAAAAATTTTCTCCCATTCTGTAGGTTGCCTGTTCACTCTGACGATAGTTTCTTTTGCTGGGCAGAAGCTCTTTAGTTTAATTAGATCCCGTTTGTCAATTTTGTCTTCTGTTGCAATTGCTTTTGGTGTTTTACTCATGAAGTCTTTGCCCATACCTATATCCTGAATAGTATTGCCTAGGTTATCTTCTAGGGTTTGTGTGGTTTTAGGTCTTACATTTAAGTCTTTATTCCATCTTGAGTTAATTTTTGTGTAAGGTGTAAGGAAGGGGCCCAGTTTCAGTCTTCTGCATATGGCTAGCCAGTTTTCCCAACGACCTTTAATAAATATTGAATCCTTTCTCCATTGCTTCTTTTTGTCAGGTTTGTCAAAGATCAGATGTTTGTAGATGGGTGGTGTTATTTCTGAGGTCTCTGCTCTGTTCCATTGGTCTATATGTCTGTTTTGGTACCAGTACCCTGCTATTTTAGTTACTGTAGCCTTGTAGTATAGTTTGAAGTCAGGTAGTTTGCTGCCTCCAGCTTTGTTCGTTTTACTTAGGATTGTCTTGGCTATACGTGCTCTTTTTTGGTTCCATATGAAATTTAAAGTAGTTTTTTTTTTTTTAATTCTGTGAAGAAAATCAATGGTTGCTTGATGGGAATAGCATTGAATCTATAAATTACTTTGGCCATTATGGTCATTTTCGCAATATTGATTCACACTATCGATGAACATGGAATATTTTTCCATTTGTTTTGTCCTCTCTTATTTCTTTGAGAAGTGGTTTGTAGTTCTCCTTGAAGAGGTCCTTCGCATTCCTTGAAAGTTGTATTCCTGGGTATTTTATTCTCTTTGTAGCAATTATGAATGAAAGTTCACTCATGATTTGGCTGTATGTTTGTCTATAATTGGTGTATAGTAATGCTTGTGATTTTTGCACATTGATATTGTATCCTGAGACTTTGCTGAAGTTGCTTCTCAGTTTAAGGAGTTTTTGGGCTGAGATGATGGAGTTGTCTAAATATACAATCATGTCATCTGCAAACAGAGACAATTTGACTTCCTCTCTTCCTATTTGAATATGCCTTATTTCTTTCTCTTGCCTGATTGCCCTGAACAGAACTTCCAATACTATGTTGAATAGGGGTGGTGAGAGTATATCCTTGTCTTGTGCTGGTTGGTTTTCAAAGGAATGTTTCCAGCTTTTGCCCATTCAGTATGATATTGGCTGTGGGTTCGTCATAAATAGCTCTCACTATTTTGAGATATGTTCAATCAATACCTAGTTCATTGAGTGTTTTTAGCATGAATGGGTGTTGAATTTTATCAAAGGCCTTTTCGGCATCTATTGAGATCATCATGTGATCTTTGTCATTAGCTGTTTATGTGATGAATTATGTTTATTGATTTGTGTATGTTGAACCAGCCTTGCATCCTAGAGATGAAGCCAACTTGATCGTGGTGGATAAGCTTTTTGATGTGCTGCTGGATTTGGTTTGCCAGTATTTTATTGAGGATTTTTGCATCATTGTTCATCAGGGATACTGACCTGAAAGTTTCTTGTTTTCTTGTGTCTCTGCCAGGTTTTGGTATCAGGATGATGCCGGCCTCATAAAATGAGTTAGGGAGGAGTCCCTCTTTCTCTATTGTTTGGAATAGTTTCAGAAGGAATGGTACCAGCTCCTCTTTGTACTTTTGGTAGAATTCAGCTGTGAATCCATCTGTTCCTGAGCTTTTTTTTTTTGATTGATATGCTATTAATTACTGCCTCAATTTCAGAACTTGTTATTTGTCTATTCAGGGATTCGACTTCTTCCTGCTTTAGTCTTGGGAGGGTGTATGTGTCCAGGAATTTATCAATTTCTTCTAGATATTCTAGTTTATTTGTGTAGAGGTGTTTATAGTATTCTCTGATGTTAGTTTGTATTTCTGTAGGATCAGTGGTGATATCCTGCTTTCTCATGCAGGCATTTAGTGCTACAAATTTCCCTCTAAACACTGCCTTAGCTGTGCCCCAGAGATTCTGGTACGTTATGTCTTTGCTCTCATTGGTTTCAAAGAACTCATTTATTTCTGCCTTAATTTTGTTATATACCCAGTAGTCATTCAGGAGCAGGTTGTTCAGTTTCCATGTAGTTGTGCAGTTCTGAGTGAGTTTTTTAATCCTGAGTTCTAATTTGATTGCTCTGTGCTCTGAGAGACTGTTATACTTTCCATTCTTTTGCATTTGCTGAGGAGTGTTTTACTTCCAATTATGAGGTCAATTTTAGAATAAGGGCTATGTGGTGCTGAGAAGAATGTACATTCTGTTGATTTGGGGTGGAAACTTCTGTAGATGTCTATTAGGTCCGCTTGGTCCAGAGCTGAGTTCAAGTCCTGAATACCCTTGTTAATTTTCTGTCTCATTGATCTGTCTAATATCAACAGTGGGTGTTAAAGTCTCCCATTATTATTGTGTGGGAGTCTAAGTCTCTTTGTAGGTCTCTAAGAACTTGCTTTATGAATCTGGGTGCTCCTGTATTGGGTGCATATATATTTAGGATAGTTAGCTTTTCTTGTTGCATTGATCCCTTTATCATTATAAAATGCCCTTCTTAGTCTTTTTTGATCTTTGATGGTTTAAAGTCTATTTTTTCAGATCCTAGAATTGCAACCCCTGCTTTTTTTTTTTCTTTCCATTTGCTTGGTAAATATTCCTCCATCTTTATTATTCTGAGCCTATATGTGTCTTAGCATGTGAGATGCGTCTCCGGAATACAGCACACTGATGGGCCTTGACTCTATCCAATTTGCCAGTCTGTGTCTTTTAATTGGGGCATTTCACCCATTTACATTTAAGGTTAATATTGTTATGTGTGAATTCTTAGGTCAAATAAAAATCAATATGTAATGTACCACGGCTAGTGGATTACAGCTAAATACATTTTTAGAGGGACATTTATAACTTAAAACATATAGATTAGAAAAGAAGAAATCATGAATAACGCATGTCAATAATCGAAAACATAGTTATTAATTTGGAATCATCAATAAATTAATCAGGCAATTACACACATAAAAAATAAGTGTATAATCAAGCAATTATACAGACAAAAAATAAGAGTATGCAGTTGCTAATATTTGGAGTAAAAGAGGACACATAATTATAGAACCAACGTATAATAAACAATGAGAATATATTATGAATGACTGTATATAATTTGGAATATTTTGAGGAAGGACAGAAATTCTTTAAAAAACGCAACTTACCAAAATTAATACCAGAAAAAGTAGTTCCAAGCCTTCCATATGTATTTAAGAAAATTAACCTATGTATACGTCTTTCCCACAAACAAATAAAAATTCAGGGTAACTTGCTTCTCTAACAAATTATTTCTAATTGTGAAAGAAAAAACAACAATTTTACATGAACTTTTACAGAAAAGGAGGGAATCATTCTCAAGTCAAAGGACAGCATAACTGGCAATAATATAACAAGGGAAAAAATACACATGATCCTTCTCATGCAAATAGTTGTAAATTCTTAAAAAAAAGTTGAAAATTAGGTCCAATTATATTTTTAAAAAGAGGAAAGTGAAGTTTAGTCCATGAATGCAAGTAAAGTTAAATATAAAAAATAAATCAGTTTAATCTACCACATAAAGAGAAATAAGGAAAAATGTATCATCATCACAATATATGAAGAATAAACTTTTAACAGTACTTCACATCCATTGATAGTTAAAATAAATGTTTGACTTAAAAGAAATAGAAAGAAAACCCCTTACTCTGATATATAGTAGTATTCTCAACAGGACTAAAACTGGTATGATTAACACTCAATTAACACTTTTACATGAGTTTAGGAAGAAGGTAGCATGCACACAGTCACAAATATAATAAATAAAATGGATTGGATTGTTCTCATTCACATGAAGGTGAGCAAAAGGACACAAAGGCAAAATTGTGTGTACAGTGTGAGTTCATTGATACAAATCTTAAAAATGGACAAAATGAATCTTTGGTAGAGAGGTTATAAAAGTAGATACATTTGAGTGTTCAGTGACTGAATGGGTCCTGGGAGCTGGGAGTCTTCTGAGATGCTGCAGTGTCCTATATTTTGATCAGCATGCTGGTTACATGGATGTGTTCCCTGTAAAAATCATGACTTGTATACTTTTCTGTATGTATGTTATTCTTCAATACAACATAAGTATTAAAAGAAGAAGTATGTTTACTTCAAAAGAATAATTGCTATGAATGAAATCAAATTGTTGTTCCCCCTGTGTACACTCTGAATTTTTCAGCAGGTAACAGCTTGCTTACAAAAGAGATGATGAATCTTTTTGAAGAATTCAAGTTGTAGAAGTTTAAGTCTGTGGCCTATGTCTTACTATCAGTAGGGAATATAATATTAAGTGCTAATTGAGTACTTAAAATGTCTATTTCAAGAAAGTGAAAATTATTGCTTATAGAGAATTAACCACAAAACAATATTGAGATATATGACAATGATATGTTAATTATTACATTATTTTTCTTTTCTTCTTTGTTGTTATCAATAAATGGCTCAAGATTTTTCTTAGATCTTCACCTTGTTTCCAGTTTTCACAGATATAGCCATATTTCTATCAAAATTCAGTAGGGCTAAGTGCCTTGTACTCAAAGCTTATTCTGTGGGCCCCTTGAAAAGTAAAATTTACAATATGGTCTTTCAAATTTTTCCGTTAATGAAACCGCTGGACAATATCTAGGATATACGCAATACGTATTAAATGCTTGATATCATAAATTATATTTTGGGAAATGTACAAGTATGAGTTTGCGTGTATAAGTATGTATGTGTTGGAAAGAGAAGAGAGTTATAATAAGAAAGCAATGAAGCAAAAGGGTGACAGAATAAGTGACTGAGTAGAAGAATATAGTACTCTATTTAAAAATTTCAGTTCCTTCCATATGGGGATAATTTATTTCCTCCCTTTAGTTTTACTGTAGGCCCATAACAGAAATGAAATTCCAACTGTTTTAGATAAAACCTAGCCAATAAATTTGTTTTAATGTATGAGAAAGACTTATATTAAGAGTATTATATTAGTAATAATTATTCTTTCTTAAATATAAGAAAATGTCATTCATTTGGTATTTTAAAGTTTTTGATCCACTTAGATTTACAGGACTATAATTTATATAATTATTAAATATTTATATAGTTATATGGTTATTTAAATAAATTCCCTTGGCATACAAGTGTTATGAAATGTCAACCAATGTCCTCTGCCATTAATAATGGATATCAATGGTGGTGCGTGCCTGTAGTCCCAGCTACTCGGGAGGCTGAGGCAGGAGAATCGCTTGAACTCGGGAGGTGGAGGTTGCAGTGAGCCAAGATCGTGCTACTGCATTCCAGCCTGGGGACACAGCAAGACTCCATCTCAAAAAAAAAAAAAAAAAAAAAAAAAAAATGGATGTCAATAAACTTTTCTGAGTTACAAAAAATAAGTAGATAGACTTTTCTGAATTTTATTTTTTTCTAAAATACATTATTTATTAAAATTTTATTTCCGAAGGCATGCTAGAATATTTTAGTAGAGAGGGGGTTTCATCATGTTGCCCAGGCTGGTCTCGAACTCCTGAGGTCAAGAGATCCACCTGCCTCGGCCTTTCAAAGTGATGGGATTACAGGCATGAGCTACTGTGTCTGGCCAGCATTCGTTGTTTCTCATTTTAACTCACTTATTTGAACATTTCAGTTTCTGTGTTTAAAACGTTATTAAATTATTTTTTATGATTTCTCCATATATTATTCTGAATACTTTGACCTTTCCACCAGTCAGATACACTGTAATATGAAATTGAGAAATAAAGCATTTTTAATTCATATAATATATATTCAACATTGATTTCTTAAATTTAATTGAATAAAATTTTCATTTTTGAACTATAAAATAATTTTTAAATAAATTTTTAAATAGTATTTCTCAATGTGCACCTTTTCAAACATAGAATGAGTGTTACTACTGAAATAGTAATCATTTTTATTTAAGGGAAAGTCAAAGATTAAAGGTTACCTGTATTTTAAAAAGGAGAGGTGAAGAAAAGTAGGCAACTAAATTGGAGAAGGTTAGAGTTAATTCTCCCTTTTATAGCACAATTTTCTATACACGATTATTTACTTACTCTTATATCAGTTTGAATTCTCCAGATACGTTTCCAAAAGTTCATATTATTTCCCATTAAAATTTAGGCAAAAATGTTGTCATTTTTTTGAAGCCCAGATGGCATACTAAACGATCTGTAAATTATTAACTTTTATTCAGTAGAGTATCATATTGCATAACATAAACATAACAAGGTGGGTAATAGGGAGAAAGTGGTTTTTTCAATAGTTTTTATGAACATATCAAAGTTTCATAATAATTAAATAGCAAAAACTCTTTCCATAACAGACATAAAAAATTAATTAGTGCATGAAGTATATGGAGGTGAAGCCATATTTGTGAGAGTTTTCTTTTAAGAACTTACTGTTAACAATTTTATTTCTTTTATTCCTCTTATACTACAACAGTTACGTCCCTTGGATTTTTCTTTTCCATGTCTAATATGCTGATGATAATATGAAAAAAAAGACCTGATTTGATTATTTTAACTCTTAGCCTCTCCTTGTAAGGTCTTCACCTCTGGTAATCAACCAGTACTTGATAGCAACAGTTAAATCAGTTTATCATCATCTACCCCACATGCCTATTATGTTTTCATTTCAGAAGAACTGCATATGAGATAATCCTGAGTATACTTCTTTATATCTTATTCCTTTGCACATAGCATCACAAGTGAGGGGGAGAATAAGATCTATTTATTTTAGGCTGCTAAAATGCTCTGCATTAAATAACTGGTTTTTTTTTTTCAAATTAAAATTATAAAGACAGTTCTTACATTTGGAAAATACATTGTAAGTTTAAATGTTTATTGATTACATAAGGCTGACTTAGCTCTCATCCATTGAGTTCTTAGCATGGGCCAGACACTGTGCTCTATATTTTGCTATGTATTAAATATAGTGCCTTTGATGAGGCAAGTATGATTATCCTCATTTTACATACAGTATACTAGGCTCCTGAATGCTATTTTAAGGTATCAAAGTAATGAGACTCAGAGCCAGCATTTAAACTCAAGGGCTTGAAAAGATATGCTGTATTGAGGCCTGAGCTTGTGCAGATTCGGGTTAACCTGAACTTTCTCTACACGGTTAAGTTCAAGTAATACAGATATGTATCATATACCTTGATCTCTCAATTCTCACAACAAATGAACAAGATATTTTTACAATGATATTATATTCTGTATAGTTTCTTAAAGAACTACAAATTTCAGTTGACATGCCTACCATACTATCGTTTACACATCTTTTATGATAATAAAGATAGAAACAATTCAATTTATATATCATGCCACAATTCACACAATTTGTAAAACTATTCTCACACATCTAATATATCACAATAAAATGAAACTTAATGGAGTGTTATGTGATGATGGCAGTGTAACCCGTTCAAGGCCTCTGGTTCAAGTCACCAATTCCAGTATGTTAATACGATATGGAGAGAGTCAACTAGAATGCTGTTATTTGTCTTTCTTTACTCTAGATAAAACAAGAGCCTGGCACCCAGCATGGGTCATTTCCAGCACAAGTATCATAACATGACTTAGAGCACACCTGTCTCACAGAGATCCCTGGTCCGAGAAAGGAAGATAAGTAGAAACATGAAGGGTAAGACAAGTCTCCCTGAGCCTCAAAAATCAGAATGAATGGCCTCAGCCCATCCCAAACCAAGATGAGGAGAAATTCAGGAGACTGGTGAGTAAAGAGACCTTCTCCATGTACTGTCATAAAGAACTGAAAAACTTCCTGCTGCAATACTTTACAAATACATCTTAGACTGTGTCTGGACTTTTTTCCGAGGACACCTAGCAGGCAATCCTGAACTCTTGTGAGTTTACATTCACAAGAATAGACTCCTGATCTTCAGAGTTCGGAGAATTTAAACATTTAAAAAATTCTTATTAAAAATAGATACAATAAAAGATAAAATATGATAAATATTTTAAATAAATAATATAATTTGGTTTTAAAAAATTGTAATTATCAAGAGCTGGAAGGTCTGATAGCAAAAATGGAAATAAAAGCCACTGTTGTAAAATAAGCAGGATTGGCCATGATTTAATCTAGGGGGTCTGAAGTTGTAAATATGAATAATAAAGGAGTAATATAACATTACTCACAAGCAATATGTTAAAATATCAATTGTCATACTGTATACACATCGTTTATAAGGGGAAGATTCAAAATATAAAGCCATAGAATTTTAAAAGCATTGAAAAAACTGAGGCAAACACTAATAAAAAGCTAATGATATAATAACAGATATATATTCACACACACAAGACATATGTGTGTATGTGTATATATACATATATATTCATTAGGCATATATGTATCAATGTATGTGTATATACATAAATTAGTCTGGAAACAAGGAGAGCTGGCAGTGAAGTGGAACAGTAGGCATTCTCCTATGTTGCTGGTTGGTATGTATTTTGATAACACTACTTTAGAGAGAAATTTGCCTGATGATATCTAGTAAAGATTTTATGTACGAGTTCTGTAATCCAACAACTGCCCTTCTAGATATAATGCACTGGAGAAACTCTCATAGATGCATTCAAAGAAATGTATGGAAAATGTTCATTACAAAACTGTATTATCAAAACATTTGAAGCAGTCTACATTTGTAGGATATTGTGGTGATGCCTGGTGAAAGCATTAAAATTGCTGAAAGTAGAATTATATGCATAAACGTGTATACATCTCAACTTCCAAAAATAAAGTTGACAATGATATGTGTACATTATAATACACACACTAATGCAAGAACACAACAGCACACATGTATATGATGAAAAAACAGGCAAAATTAGACCACGTACTGTTTGTGGGTAACTAGTTATTTAATAAAATGATCTAATGATGTATGCAAATGATAAAAAACAAATTTAGGAGTGCTGTTACCTATGCTTTGGGTCAAGAGATGACGGGGTTGAGACTAGGAACTGTAGGGAAAATGGCTGTGTTTCGGTGAGGAGTAGGCTGAGTCAAACATCCAGTACACCATGACACAGCGGATTTGGAGTGCAGGCGCACAACCCCGTGCATTATGTAGCCATTTAATGTAACCTGTTTGTGTGAGCTCATACCTGGCTTTGGGCCACTATTGTCTGTGAGTAATATAGCTGCACTGCTGACTCTGTAGAGTGGGGATAGAAGAAGAGGGCCATGTCCCACCTGCCTATAGTCCCTTGAGTGATCTTTCAGCAACCCACCACCTGTCCACCAAATCCCCTTGGACCCACTTGGTTTGGGACCTGACAGGAACAAATATTACATGCTACATTAATTTTACCTAATATGTTTATTTCTTTAAAGAAAAATCAAGATCAGAAAATAACATGACCAAAAAAAAAAAAAAAAAAAAAAAAAGAAAACAACAGAAGAGAATCCTGCAATCAAAGACAAGAATCAGGATAACTAGCCTCCTCCAGGTGATAACTTGAATAAATAAATTAAAAACACTCATAAGTTTTAAGTACAGCATGTTCATAAAGTTTCACTAAAATGTTTTTTAAAAATGTGTCTCCATTCTGCAAGGAAAATAGTATCTAACAAGACTCAAATTAGCAGACTGAAAAAACAAGTGGTAAAAATATTTAAATTCACAGAAAAAGAGAAAAAATATAAGAACCATGAGGCTTGAAAAAGTAGGTGATAAACTCAATGACTTAGCATGCACATGATAACAATTATATCAGGAGACAAGAAAACAGATAAAAGGAGAGAGATATGTTAAGGAAATAACAGATGAAATTCCTCAGAGCTCATAAAATACCTAAGTCTGTGTGTTGAAGTGGTCATCTAATTCCAGACAGGACTAATGAGAGAAAATACAAATCTTGGCAGATCCTAGAAAAATTCCTGACATTAAAAAAAAAATTTAAGTAAAAATTTCCTGTTCCTAATGGCACATCAGATGCAAGTGAACTCTCAAACATTTCTAGTGGATAGGTGAATTACTGCTGCATTTCTGGAAAGCAATCTGTTAACGTCGCTTAAAATAAGACGCACATCCCCATCCTTCTTCCCTGTAGTCCCATCCGTGGGAATCTATCACAAAGAACTTCAAAAAATACAAATGGCTGAGAATATAATTATGTTTATCACTTTATCACAGCACTATATCTGTGGTATTCCAGTAAATCCATTGATAAAGAAATTATCAGAAAATAATGGTACATCAACACATTCGGATATTATGAAACTAATAGAAAAGTAGTATAAAATATACCAGTTGACTTCAAGGGTTATTCATGAGATATTAACTTAGAAAAAAATTATATAAAAACAATTTTGTATATTGTATAGTATTTTTAAAAGGCAAGTAACACTAAATTCGTATGTGTATATTAATATATCTGTTCCTGTGTTTATAGATATTACAAAAATATATGCATACAAAATACTCATATGAGAGAGCATAAACAAAAGTGAAGGATGGTACACTTAAGCTGCTAATGTTGGTTGTGAGTTGTAATGCAATTTGAAAAGAACAGGAAAGGTTGAATGAATTGTGATGACAGAAGAAAAGAGATGCTTCTTGGAAAGGAAGCATGCATAGTATAATACCTTTGGTATACATTTTCATACATGTGTATAGATCAAGAAATAGTATGTAAATATATAAATGATAGTTAATATTTATAGAGATATATGTCTAAATAGAATAATCTGATAAAAATAAATTTAGATCTAAATCTATGAACTTTTAAGGGTAACAATGTTAGGTGACGTAAGCAGATTGCATATATTTTTTTTTTAGCAAAACAGAAACAAATAATCTATGAGAGTCAGAGTTGTATTTATTTGCATTGGCAAGGATATGCTCAATGATATAAATGTGTGTTACCTCTAGACCAACATAAAGTGGGTCAGAAATGATTAGATAGCTCTGCCAGTATTCATTTTGTTACTTGATTTTTAAGTACTGAAACGATAGTTTATAAAGTTTTTAACTTGAAAATCCTTATATTAAAAAAACTAAAATTACTCAAAAAATTTTTAAAGAGTTTAAACTTAAATGTTATCCAATTCCACTGTAAAAAATGAGTTTATACTTAACTTGATAAAAATATAGCCATTGTATTACAGGTGAAAAATCCTGAGAGGCACTATGGCACAATGATTCTGGTTCAAGTTGTAGAATCAGAGGGGCTGAGATTAAATCAAATTTTTGTCACACACTACCTGTCTCTGGTCCATACTATCTTGGTAATCTTTCAAAACTATCCAATTGCTTTGTGGACCACTTTCCTTCTGTGTAGAATGAGAATAATAAGATGAAACATGAGGATAATAATAGATGACTAATATAAGATACATGAAACTCTCAAACAGACTGACACACATTAAATGCCAAATGCAGGTTTGTTATTATAATTAAGAATAAATCTGCAGTAAAAATAAGGAAGAGGGACAACTAACAGTGGCTCAGTGCACATGACATGTGTATTACAAACTTCAGCAGACTCACAAACATTCTCTATGATGTGTTCATTAGCAAAAGTGTTTTGGCAACTCAAATATATGTGTCCTTAGGATCATTTCATAAGAAAAATATTCAGATAGGCTAAGTGACTTACCATTGTCACTCAGATTGTCTGTCTCCAAATATGGATTTCCAATTTTTGGTCTAATGATCACACACCTCAGACATTTTTTAAATCATTGGTTCAGTGATCACACACCTGAGACATTTTTTAAAAGCCACATTACAGATGTTTATGAATATACATTAGGATGTGTCTTTTGCATGTTTGAATAAGGCAGTTTGAACATATTTGGCCCTTGATTTCAAAAATGTGTAATATTGTTATTTATTGATTACATGTTTACATATAGTTTACCCTTTGCTTACAGTAGGCAAATGTCAATTTCAAATTGTTCCATTATTACTAATATTTTATTACTTTTTAGTTATAATCTTCAAATATACAAATTATCTTCAAATATTGGTTGTAACAGTAACCAGGGCTTGTCAATGCAGTTAAGTATTGGGAAAAGTAAATATACATCTGGCTGTGCTCATGGTGGCATCTTATCTAGACAGAGACAAACAGAGCTGATTTAACATTTAATCCTGTGTAAATCTACTTTGGTTATACAGAAGTAGTCAAGGTCATGTCCCTTGCCCTCAGCTAGCATTGACTTCCAAGATTGCTCTCATTCTCTTGCCTCTTAATTCCTATTGCCCTTAAGGCTCTGATATGGCATGTTACAATTTAATTATGAACAGTCTTCTCATTTTTATAATTATATACAAAGTATTTTACCTTCTCAATTACATAGTAAAGTCATTGAAATCAGGAATCATTCCTTTTACTTCCTTTATATCTCTCAAGTTTAGAACTGCTTAGAACTGCATTGATTATAACATAATTAAATAGATTTTATTATATGACTTAAAGGAAATAAATCATCCTTCAACAGCATATATCATTAAAATCAAAACAAGTATTGCTATTGCTGCTATATGTATCCGATGTTCCATCTCTTTCGTATTTAGACAAAAAACACTAAATATTTGGGAAATAATTCTAAAATGTTTTAATAAAATTAGGTTAACATAAAGATATTGGAAAAATTTTAAGCTCACCATATGCCCCAGTTTCAAAAATACTAGGCCAAAAATAAGAGTTATTCTTAGACTTATAATTAAATACTTATGTACTTTGGGGATATGTTACAGTTTTCTATTAGGTTCAGTCATTTTTTGAACAAACTATTTTGACAAAGAAAGACTACTGCGCTGCCACCTCTCTCTTCTCTTCATTATTCCATCAAGTGAGGCAGAATTAAGTTCAAAGTTAGCAGCTAACCAGTTGAAACTGACTTTATCACGAATATCGGTGCTAGCATTATGATGCCATAGTTTACAAATCTTGTTTAGTTTCTAAACTGACTTTTCAGAAAACTTCTGTTATATGTGCAAGAATAGAAAGCACACAGAATCTGGATTCCCATGTCCAGGTTTGGCACTTCTGCTTTGTCACTTACTAACTGTGCAGATTTGGGTACTCAGTCTTTTTGATGCTGTTTCTTGTCATCTGTAAAATGGGTACAAGAAACAAATAATCCAAAGTTTCTGAAAGCATCAAATGAACTAGTTTATGTTTGAAACATTTTTAAATTTTCAAATGACAAACATATCAGGCATTCTTGTCATTTGTTTCTGTTCCCCCAAAATATGTAGATGAGTGACTAAGAAAAACCAAAAGTTGGCTGGAAAACTGTTAGTATTTAATAAATTGCTTATGTCCATGTTGAGAAAAATGTAAATGAATTAATAATATAATACGAAGATTCTGGTATATTAGTTACATGCAGTTTATTTTCTAAAGCCAAATACAACATACACATATATTTAAAGTTTTCAAATATATAAATGTTTTAATCTTACAAGCAATAATTTAATTACATTTTATTCTAGAGTTCTCAGTATTTATGTATAGATACCTATCTGAATTCCTTTCAATTAGCATTAAAATGTAGTTTAAACTTTCAGTTTTTCATTGAGGAGCTGCAAATTGTCTACTTATTTTTCGACATAGTATTATTTTACAAGAAAAAGGCATCTTAAGATATCAGTTAATCCAACTTTCTGCTACTCTCTCACTGCCACTGGAAATCCTACATGTATATCAGCAGAGACAGTATTTGAGTGGCAAAATTTCTTGTTCTTGTTCTAAAGATGCACACATATTACTTAATTAAACATGAGACTGAAAATTATTCACCATCAAATTCCTCATTATTTATGAATCAAATCTTAGTACTACTATTGTGGCCGCTGTTATCACTACTTTTACTACTGTTAGGTTGAACTCTTCTTGGTTAAATATAGTACAATAATGGTAATTCAATGAACATTCACTCTTAATCTTGAAAGTGAATATAGTATAGAAATAGCTTACAAATTTTTATTTGCCATTTTAAAAATAATTCATATGTATTAAATGAATTCTATTCCTATCCCTCTACTAGATCTCACTGTCTAGAATATCCTCAAGTAATATTCTCTTCTGTCTCTATAGAAACAGTCTTTCTGTCTCTAACACATCATCAGAGGAGAATACTTGTTACTTCTCTCTTCAAAATTATTGTTCTCTTGAGCCCATCCCCCTATACTTATTGATAACTTCTTCTGCTATCCTTTAAAACAAAATGGAAAATCGGGTCACTCCCACCCTAATACTGCGCTTTTCCAACGGGCTTAAAAATCGGCACACCAGAAGATTATATCCCGCACATGGCTCAGAGGGTCCTATGCCCAGAGTCTCGCTCATTGCTAGCACGGCAGTCCCAGATCAAACTGCAAGGCAGCAGCGAGGCTGGGGGAGGGGTGACTGCCATTGCCGAGTTAGTTGTTTGATTAGGCAAACAAAGCTGCCCGGAAGCTCGAACTGGGTGGAGCCCACCATAGCTCAAGGAGGCCTGCCTGCCTCTGTAGGCTCCACCTCTGGGGGCAGGGCACAGACAAACAAAAAGACAGCAGTAACCTCTGCAGACTTAAATGTCCCTCTCTGACAGCTTTGAAGAGAGTAGTGGTTCTTCCAGCACGCAGCTTGAGATCTGAGAACAGGCAGACTGCCTCCTCAAGTGGGTCCCTGACCCCCAACTAGCCTAACTGGGAGGCACCCCCGAGTAGGGGCAGACTGACACCTCACACAGCTGGGTACTCCTCTGAGACAAAACTTCCAGAGAAACCATCAGGCAGCAGCATCTGTGGTTCACCAATATCTGCTGTTCTGCAGCCACCGCTGCTGATACCCAGGCAAACAGGGTCTGGAGTGTACCTCTAGCAAACTCCAACAGACCTGCAGCTGAGGGTCCTGTCTGCTAAAAGGAAAATCAACAAACAGAAAGGACATCCACACCAAAAACCCATCTGTATGTCACCATCATCAAAGACCAAAAGTAGATAAAACCACAAAGATGGGAAAAAACAGAGCAGAAAAACTGGAAACTCTAAAAATCAGAGTGCCTCTCCTCCTCCAAAGGAATGCAGCTCCTCACTAGCAACGGAACAAAGCTGGACAGAGAATGACTTTGACAAGTTGAGAGAAGAAGGCTTCAGACGATCAAACTACTCTGAGCTACAGGAGGAAATTCGAACCAATGGCAAAGAAGTTAAAAGCTTTGAAAAAAAATTAGACGAATGGATAACTAGAATAACCAAAGCAGAGAAGTCCTCAAAGGACCTGATGGAGCTGAAAACCAAGGCACGAGAGCTACGTGAAGACTGCAGAAGCCTCAGTAGCCAACGCCATCAACTGGAAGACAGGGTATCAGTGATGGAAGATGAAATGAATGAAATGAAGCGAGAAGAGAAGTTTAGAGAACAAAGAATAAAAAGAAATGAACAAAACCTCCAAGAAATATGGGACTATGTGAAAAGACCAAATCTATGTCTGATTGGTGTACCTGAAAGTGACGGGGAGAATGGAACCAAGTTGGAAAACACTCTGCAGGATATTATCCAGGAGAATTTCCCCATTCTAGTAAGGCAGGCCAACATTCAAATTCAGGAAATACAGAGAACGCCACAGAGATACTCCTCGAGAAGAGCAACTCCAAGACACATAATTATCAGATTCACCAAAGTTGAAATGAAGGAAAAAATGTTAAGGGCAGCCAGAGAGAAAGGTCGGGTTACTCACAAAGGGAAGCCCATCAGACTAACAGCTGATCTCTTAGCAGAAACTCTACAAGCCAGAAGAGAGTGGGGACCAATATTCAACATTCTTGAAGAAAAGAATTTTCAACCCAGAATCTCATATCCAGCCGAACTAAGCTTCATAAGTGAAGGAGAAATAAAATACTTTACAGACAAGCAAATGCTGAGAGATTTTGTCACCACCAGTCCTGCCCTAAAAGAGCTCCTGAAGGAAGCACTAAACATGGAAAGGAACAACTGGTACCAGCCACTGCAAAAACATGCCAAATTGTAAAGACCATCAAGGCTAGGAAGAAACTGCATCAACTAACGAGCAAAATAACCAGCTAACGTCATAATGACAGGATCAAATTCACACATAACAATATTAACTTTAAATGTAAATGGGCTAAATGCTCCAATTAAAAGACACAGACTGGCAAACTGGATAAAGAGTCAAGACACAACAGTGTGCTGTATTCAGGAAACCCATCTCATGTGCAGAGACACACATAGGCTCAAAATAAAGGGATGGAGGAAGATCTACCAAGCAAATGGAAAACAAAAAAAGGCAGGGCTTGCAATCCTAGTCTCTGATAAAACAGACTTTAAACCAACAAAGATCAAAAGAGACAAAGAAGGCCATTACATAATGGTAAAGGGATCAATTCAACAAGAAGAGCTAACTATCATAAATATATATGCACCCAATACAGATGCACCCAATACAGAAGCACCCAGATTCATAAAGCAAGTCCTTAGTCACCAAGTCTACAAAGAGACTTAGACTCCCACACAATAATAATGGGAGACTTTAACACCCCACTGTCAACATTAGACAGATCAACGAGACAGAAAGTTAACAAGGATACCCAGGAATTGAACTCAGCTCTGCACCAAGCGGACCTAACAGACATCTACAGAACTCTCCACCCCAAATCAACAGAATATACATTCTATTCAGCACCACACCACACCTACTCCAAAACTGACCACATAGTTGGAAGTAATGCACTCCTCAGCAAATGTAAGAGAACAGAAATTATAACAAACTGTCTCTCAGACCACAGTGCAATCAAACTAGAACTCAGGATTAAGAAACTCACTGAAAACCACTCAACTACACGGAAACTGAACAACCTGCTCCTGAATGACTACTGGGTAAATAATGAAATGAAGGCAGAAATAAAGATTTTCTTTGAAACCGAAGAGAACAAAGACACAACAGACCAGAATCTGTGGGACACATTCAAAGTAGTGTGTAGAGGGAAATTTATAGCACTAAATGCCCACAAGAGAAAGCAGAAAAGATCTCAAATTGACACCCTAACATCACAATTAAAAGAATTAGAAAAGCAAGAGCAAACACATTCAAAAGCTAGCAGAAGGCAAGAAATAACTGAGATCAGAGCAGAACTGAAGGAAACAGAGAGACCAAAAACCCTTCAAAAAATTAGTGAATCCAGGAGCTGGTTTTTTGAAAAGATCAACAAAATTGATAGACCGCTAGCAAGACTAAGAAAGAAGAAATGAGAGAAGAATCAAATAGACGCAATAAAAAATGATAAAGGGAATATCACCACCGATCCCACAGAAATACAAACTACCATCAGAGAATACTATAAACACCTCTATGCAAATAAACTAGAAAATCTAGAAGAAATGGATAAATTCCTGGACACACACATCCTCCCAAGACTAAACCAGGAAGAAGTTGAATCTCTGAATAGACCAATAACAGGCTCTGAAATTGAGGCGATAATCAATAGCTTACCAACCAAAAAAAGTCCAGGACCAGATGGATTCACAAGCCAAATTCTACCAGAGGTACAAAGAGGAGCTGGTACCATTCCTTCTGAAACTATTCCAATCAACAGAAAAAGAGAGAATCCTCCCTATCTCATTTTATGAGGCCAGCATCATCCTGATACCAAAGCCTGGCACAGACACAACCAAAAAAGAGAATTTTAGACCAATATCCTTGATGAACATTGATGCAATAATCCTCAATAAAATATTGGCAAACCGAATCCAGCAGCACATCAAAAAGCTTATCCACCATGATCAAGTGGGCTTCATCCCTGGGATGCAAGCCTGGTTCAACATACACAAATCAATAAATGTAATCCAACATATAACAGAACCAAAGACAAAAACCACATGATTATCTCAACAGATGCAGAAAAGGCCTTTGACAAAATTCAACAACACTTCATGCTAAAAACTCTCAATAAATTAGGTATTGATGGGACGTATCTCAAAATAATAAGAGCTATCTATGACAAACCCACAGCCAATATCATACTGAATGGGCAAAAACTGGAAGCATTCCCTTTAAAAATGGGCACAAGACAGGGATGCCCTCTCTCACCACTCCTATTCAACATAGTGTTGGAAGTTCTGGCCAAGGCAATCAGGCAGGGGAAGGAAATAAAGGGTATTCAATTAGGAAAAGAGGAAGTCAAATTGTCCCTGTTTGCAGACGACATGATTGTATATCTAGAAAGCCCCACTGTCTCAGCCCAAAATCTCCTCAAGCTGATAAACAACTTCAGCAAAGTCTCAGGATTCAAAATCAATGTACAAAAATCACAAGCATTCTTATACACCAATAACAGACAGAGAGCCAAATCATGAGTGAACTCCCATTCACAGTTGCTTCAAAGAGAATAAAATACCTAGGAATCCAACTTACAAGGGACGTGAAGGACCTCTTCAAGGAGAGCTACAAACCACTGTTCAATGAAATAAAAGAGGATACAAACAAATGGAAGAGCATTCCATGCTCATGGGTAGGAAGAATCAATATTGTGAAAATGGCCATACTGCCCAAGGTAATTTATAGATTCAGTGCCATCCCCATTAAGCTACCAATGACTTTCTTCACAGAATTGGAAAAAATGACTTTAAAGTTCATATGGAACCAAAAAAGAGCCCGCATCGCCAAGTCAATCCTAAGCCAAAAGAACAAAGCTGGAGGCATCACACTACCTGACTTCAAACTATACTACAAGGCTACAGTAACCAAAACAGCAGGGTACTGGTACCAAAACAGAGATATAGACCAACGGAACAGAACAGAGCCCTCAGAAATAATGCTGCATATCTACAACTATCTGTTCTTTGACAAACCTGACAAAAACAAGCAATGGGGAAAGGATTCCTTATTTAATAAATGGTGCTGGGAAAACTGGCTAGCCATATGTAGAAAGCTGAAACTGGATCCCTTCCTTACACCTTATACAAAGATTAATTCAAGATGGATTAAAGACTTACATGTTAGACCTAAAACCATAAAAACCCTAGAAGAAAACCTAGGCAATACCATTCAGGACACAGGCATGGGCAAGGACTTCATGTCTAAAACACCAAAAGCAATGTCAACTAAAGCCAAAATTGACAAATGGGATCTAATTAAACTAAAGAGCTTCTGCACAGCAAAAGAAACTACCATCAGAGTGAACAGGCAACCTACAGAATGGGAGAAAATTTTTGCAATCTACTCATCTGACAAAGGGCTAATATCCAGAATCTACAATGAACTCAAACAAATTTACAAGAAAAAAACAAACAACCCCATCAAAAAGTGGGCGAAGGACATGAACAGACACTTCTCAAAAGAAGACATTTATGCAGCCAAAAAATACATGAAAAAATGCTCATCATCACTGGCCATCAGAGAAATGCAAATCAAAACCACTATGAGATATCATCTCACACCAGTTAGAATGGCGATCATTAAAAAGTCAGGAAACAAGAGGTGCTGGAGAGGATGTGGAGAAATAGGAACACTTTTACACTGTTGGTGGGACTGTAAACTAGTTCAACCATTGTGGAAGTCAGTGTGGCAATTCCTCGGGGGTCTAGAACTAGAAATACCATTTGACCCAGCCATCCCATTACTGGGTATATACCCAAAGGTTTATAAATCATGCTGCTATAAAGACACATGCACACGTATGTTTATTGTGGCACTATTCACAATAGCAAACACTTGGAACCAACCTAAATGTCCAACGATGATAGACTGGATTAAGAAAATGTGGCACATATATACCATGGAATACTATGCAGCCATAAAAAATGATGAGTTCATGTCCTTTGTAGGGACATGGATGAAACTGGAAACCATCATTCTCAGCAAACTACCCCAACGACAAAAATCCAAACACCACATGTTCTCACTCATAGGTGGGAAATGAACAATGAGAACACATGGACACAGGAAGGGGAACATCACACACCGGGGATTGTTGTGGCGTGGGGGGAGGGGAGAGGGATAGCATTAGGAGATATACCTAATGCTAAATGATGAGTTAATGGGTGCAGCACACCAACATGGCACATGTATACCTATGTAACAAACCTGCATGTTGTGCACATGTACCCTAAAATTTAAAGTATAATAATAAAATTTAAAAAAGAAATAAATTCTATATTTTCCTTAAATACATAAAAACATATGCCTATGATTGTTATGTTGCCAGGGACTTCTCAAACAGGTATTTTTTCTCTAGAGGGTAGACAGGGTGATTATAGGTCAGCTCATTAGGAGATGTAAGGAAAAATCTGATTCCCATATGAGTTTTGATTTTGGCTTCTTGTGAGGCTTAAAAGACAAAGAAAAAAAACAGTATTCTCCTAAGACTGACATTCTTTCTCTAGTTAACTAGTACTGGTTTTTGTTTCTCTTTTTTCTGTTTTCTTTTTCAAAAGTCAGTAAGAAATTCTCATTCTCTTAATAGTGAAATAAGAAAAATGCTGAAGTACATCAACTAAAATAAATTTGATTAGAAGTAATTTATTAATGACTATTATGATATGCTAATTGTATTATAAACAGATCATGAATATTTCATTGACCCATAGCCTCTGTGTTTAATACATTTGTATTTATTTTAATTACCTGTACTCCTTTTATGACCTTTTGCTTTATCTCTGTTGCAAAAATCTTGGAATGACCCACATATTCTCATTCTAGACACCCAAAATAAAATCCCTTTCATCACAGATATAATAAAATATTTAGACATTTTAGTTTTTTTATAAGATGTTGCTGAATTTGAGAGAGATGAGAAAACCTTTCAAACTATATTTATTTAAAGATCTTTGTCCCTTTGAATGTTTTGGTAGAAATGCAACCAAGGATTCTTACAATTAGAAGAGATGTGTGAACTGCATTGCTCACAATATCCTAACCATCTTTTATTTTCATGCACAAGACATCTCAGGGAGATTAAAAATAAAAGTATGTTTTAACTCTTAAAAAGTTTAAACATAATCATAAAACTCTCAATCTGTGTGTATTTTTATGACAGTTTTTATTGCAACTCTTTTTCTTACTCTTGCATTTTTCCAAATTTCTTGGCCACCTTCTAAAAGGTAGTAGGTTCTGAGCTTCCTTGTCCTAGGGAGACTTTTTTTTGCCAGGAAGTATGTCTTACAGTGTTGAAAAGAATATGTGAGAAAAATACAAAAAAGAGTATTTCTAGATTAGGCAGACTGCTTTGAGGGGAGAAAGGTTGCCTCTCACAGTTTAAAAGAAATTCGTCTGGGTTAGGGTGCTGAGAGGAAAAAACAAGATGTCTCTGAGTCAACAAAGGAGAGGGCAGCAGTATTCTGATACCATGTATTATGGCCTGAAAGTAACTAGACAAAGTTGCAGTGTAGATTGGCTGCTTAGTGAACTGCACAATAAAGAAAGAACCACACAGCTTCCAGGCATGAATGGAGTATGGGGACTTGGGCATTGTGTGAATAAGCTATATGCATGAATGGATAACCAAGAACCGAATCTAACACCTACCCATCATTCGCAGCCCACATGGTTTAAAGCCTCGTAAAATCCTAAAACTCAAACCCGATTTTAAAGAAGCAGCAAGAACATAGAAAGAACTGATATCATTACAATCCTCCAATCCATGAATGTGGTATATATAACCTTTCCTTTATTTAAAGTTTCTAAATTTTATCTTAATAATTTTCCCTGTGTAGCAGAAATAAACACATTTTTTTCAGACTTATTCCAAAGTATTTGATGGTTTAGTTATATGTTTTTTAAGTTTTAATTTTTGTATTGTAACTTTGTATCCAGCAACTTTACTAAATTCATGTATTAATTCTTATAGTGAGATTGTAGATCATTTTGGATTTTTATGCACAAACTCATGAACATTGTGAATATTGATGTTTTATTTATTTAGGTTTAATATTTCTATATAGCTCAGGGACTAATGAAGATACAGAACCTGCACCACTTATTTGAACAAAGAAAAGTTAACACATTTTAATTACATATAAATTTGTTACATAGGTAACTGAAAAGGTAAGAAAAGAAAACTAAGATATTATACAGGTAGCAAATGAGAAGCAGCAGCTACCCTCTCCCTACTGCAAAGTGAAGAGGTGGAATTTATAAAACTTAGAAGACAGGCTGCATTGAACTGTTTCTACACAGTGGGCACAGCTCAGCTGGTTCTAGTATCTCTAAGTTCATAGGAGTGCTCTGTGGGGCTGGGATCGATCTAAATATCTGAAAAGCAGAACTTGCTGCATTTGCTGCTGATGTCTCTCTAATGTGGGGCACAATTAGTCTGGGACTTAAAGTTGTAAATGAGTTGCATACCGGAATCAGTAATAAACTGTTGCTCCTGGAATGAGAATCATTTACAGTCTGATACTTAGAGTAAGAAAAGTAGTCAGAAAGCTTATAGAAAGCAACTGAATGTAAGTTCCGGCATCTTCCTCCAGTTTTGCATTGCAGGTCCTCTTACTGGCACAACCTATAGGAAGCTGGCTGGCAAGTTAGAAATGTGGTTTTCCTACTCCCAAACCCAAAATCACAAAATGAAGTATAGATAAAGGTTTAGTACTTAAAGGAAAAAAAAAGAAAAGCTTAATAACTAGCAGATTTACATCTTTTTCTTATCCTGTTGCACCAATTACAAATTTCAGCACAATATTGAATACAAAAGATCATTGCCAATTTGTTCCTGAATTGAGTGGCATATTTTTCACTATTTCACAACATTTTTGGCAGTTGAAGAACATTTTATTGCATGGTTGTACCTTTATATTCAGAGCTGCTTACTACAAATCAATAGTAAAAAACCCAAATTTTACACATTTTTATACTTGAAAAAATTTTTAAACAGTGCAATTTTTCCTCCTTTTTGTCTTGATAGCCTCTTCAGTATTTTGTCAATTGTGTTCCTTCCTAAGACCCAATTATGATTTTCTGGATTCTATTTAACGTCTGCAATCTATTATTTAATTCTTGCCTCTATTATCAACATTTATTTGTTTTTGAGTTTAATTTTTCATTTTTGTGATTTTGAGATGTACACTCCGATTATTGTCTTTTTCAACCATGCTAATGTTCTATCATGTTTTTAAAGCTATAGCTTGTCTTCTAAACACTCCCTTATTAGAATTCCATGAATTTTGATAGACCATATGTTGACTATCACTTAGTCCAAACTATTTTCCAGTTTCCATTGTAATTACTTATTTAAAAAATGTTTAGCAATATTAAATATTTTTTAATGTTTCTCATAAGTTTTTATTATCTATTTTTACCTTAATTCCTCTCAGTTAATAGTTCGGAGCTGATTTGCTGCTGGGTTTTATTCCTTATGAGAATCATTCTATCTGAATTTCATTACAATTGTGTAGTCCTTCAGAGTCTTAGCTGAAAACCTGGGGTCTATTCCTAGTTACCTCTACTTTTATAAGTCCTGAGCTACAACTTCTGCGCCTTCAGCCCATGAAACTGTAGAATGCTCCGCCCAGCTTCTTCTCAGGTTTCAAACTGACAACTGACTCAATGAAACAGAAGTGCTAAATATCAAATTCTTTTTTTCTGTTTTTGTTTTTGTTTTTCTGTCTGAGATCCTGGTATCCAAGTCCTCTCTACCATCTAAGAATTTGTTATTGTTGTTGTTGCTTTCTTTAATTGTTGTTAATTTTTTACAGATTTTTTTAGTTGTGCTCATAAATAGGCCTGATTCAAAGCAACCTACTACACTGTTGTCAAAAATATGGTAATCAGTAAATATTAATTTTTTAACACTGTTCTCCAATTTATGTATTTCTTCTCCATTACATTAAAACAAAAAAAAGAACTGATTCTGTTCAATAAACATGGGATTTACCTTAAAATTTAGTGCTTTTTTGTTCAAAATTTTTATTAATTGTCGTGTACTATCCGCTACACTTCACTCCTTTAGATGAGATTATAAGGGCAACATATGG
Source organism: Homo sapiens (assembly GCF_000001405.40). Taxonomy (NCBI): domain Eukaryota; kingdom Metazoa; phylum Chordata; class Mammalia; order Primates; family Hominidae; genus Homo; species Homo sapiens. The sequence continues at coordinate 70,218,723 of NC_000013.11, forward strand.
CATTACCATGACAGGAAAACTGTTACTGTATGTGCAGAGATGTTGACATTGCTGGAATGGACCATTATGTAATCATGTGAATCTTACGTCATCAGCTTACATAGGACAAAATTAATTTTCCTAGGGAGCAATTTGTATAATGCTATTAGTAAATAACATAAAATTTTAGTATATGAGGTCAGAGCTTCTTATGTCATTATTTTAACTTTTCATACCATATTGCCATGTACCTGCTATTTAATTCTCTTATCATTTAGTGTTAAAGAAAAAAAGAGCCAATATGATACATACTGTGTAATAGGAAGGAGATTTTTGTTTTTGTGTATATGTTATGCAAAACTTTCTAAATAGTCATCAAAACTATACTAAATCAAATAAGTTGTAGCAGGAATATTAATTTGAAAATCTCCAGATAGATTTAATCTTAGCCAGAAAAAAATGACATACCTTGATATACAGTCCTACTAAGACATATATTTGAAGTCTCTCAGGCTCATTTATACAAAGGATATTAGGACTTCCATACACAAAACTCAGAGGATTATTTTCACACATCATTTTAAAGGTTAAAATTTAATTGACTATCACAGAAATAAACTATATTGATTTATAGTGTTATCATAATTATCCTTAAAAATGAGAACTACATTATATGTGCATCATATACTAGAGCTAAGTATGCTAACACACTTTAGGAAATAAGTAAATAAATAAATATAATGTATACTGAGAACCTATTATATGCTGGGCAATGTCATAAGAACTTTACATTTTAATATAATTAGATTCATGGTGCCTTGATTTTATTCTCCTGGAACTCAGGATAGTGATTATATAAATTGAGTATTTTTTGTCCACACCAGGTATGATCCCTGGCTTATTCCTCTAAAGGAAATGTAGGTGGTTTGAAAATAGGCAAAATTTGTCTTGCTTTAATTCTTACAAAGTGAGACTCAAAATCATATTGTAAATGCACTATATCAAATGGAGTATTCGTTAGTCAATCAGAAACTTATTTTCAATTTCTTTCTAACCTTATTGTTAAGTTTTATCTCCTACTACTACTGTATATTTTATGGCTCTCTAAAACTTGAAAGTGTGTGTGTGTGTGTGTGTGTGTGTGTGTGTGTGTGCCTACTAATATAAAGACAGTAGAAGAAACATATTTGTGTTCAATGGCCTAAACAACTCACACCTATGAATGTTTAGAAGACATACCTTAGAAATTATTACAATTAAAATGTTGCATTTATTTGTGGCACAAAGAACTAGATATATTTTGATGGCATCACATTTTTATCAGTCAAAACTCCACGAAGAAACAGAAACATTTTTTTCTATTAGAAATAGTTGATGCTAATTTCCACATATTGTAATTATCTTGGGCATAACACACCAAAAAGAAGTGAGATTTGTTCAGCCAATGAATGTTTATTAAGCACTAAGCCTATACTAGTTAGTGTTCTTAGTCCCCATAGTACCAACCTAGCCACCTTTTATGCAATACTCTGTTCAGTTGTTAGGCTCTAACTGCATATGACTATGAAGCACTTGAAAAATGGCTTGTATGACCAAGGTGCATATTTTTTTGAGACACGAGAAGAGACAAGTGGAGAGTCATAAGAGATGAGGTGGGCCACATCATTCAGGGACTTGAAAGCTCTACTAGAATTATTGACTTTTATAGTAAGTAAAATAAAGAGTACTTTAAGCAGAGAGATGGCAGATATTACCTGAATAATATACTGCAAAAACACAAAATTCATAATATATAATTGCATAAATCACAGAAATAGAAAATTCTACATTGAGCATGTTGCAAAGTAGCTTCCAGATACAAAAGAATGTTTCTTTATACGATACATAGTAAGTTTCAATTTGTCCTCAATCAGTACAACAAGGTTCTTCCCCTTTTGCTGCACCAATATCGTCCACACATAGCAGTGATATTTTTAACTTATATAGCTATTTATTCTTACTTTTTATGGCAGGACACTGGGAAACAGAAATGCTACAGAAAGTTGGAAATTCTAAACTTCTTGAGAAAAGAAGCAATGCTTTTTTATTTTTCTATTTCCCATTAGCAGTCACTGATAAAGTGACTCCTCTAAAACTGTTTAATTCCAAGTCACTAATGACTTTCTAGTCAAATCCAAAAGACACACTCGTTTCCTTATTTTACTTGATCTCTTGACATCATTTGGAACTGTCAGCACCAGTGTTCCTCTTATAAAGCACGTTTTTGGCTTCTGATATAAAACCCCATCAGAATTTCCACCAAAAAGCTTTGACTGCTCACTCGCTGTCTCTAATGTGGAATACTCCTCCCCTGCTCATGTCTTCAAAACTAAAATTCTGTGGGGTCTTGCATTGCATTTCTCATTCTCCTCAGTCTACACAATTTCCCTGTAATACTGCATTCCATAGCATCAGCTGATACTTCTGTGCCAAACACTTACAAACTGAAATTTCACATACACTCACTCACATACCTTGGTATTGCCTAAAATACGTCCCACTCCCAAAAAGATACACTTTCATTCTCCTCAGTTTTATCTATGTGAGTAGCACCATCATATATCCAGTTGTTTAAGCTAAAACTTACTGCAGTTCCTGAGCCCTGACAACCTTCCTAATTACTAATTAGGTCAGAATTATATGTTCCACACATCTTACATCAGAGTAGTTGCTATATTTCTAGAAAATATAAATCACAGACCTCAAAACCAGGTATCCAAGAGACTAAATATTTTACAAGGTGATTTAAATGTTAACTTCAGTTACTTTAGACAGCATGGAGGAATATTTCACTGAGTTTGCCGTCCTCTTTCTACTGAAGTTTAGACTATTTTGTTGGAAGGGTTGACTTCTGTACTATCATGAGATCTGCAGGGTATATCAGGCCTTCATGGGAGAAGCTGAGATGGTCAATGTCCTGCTGGGTACTGGTCATAGTGTGTGGTAATTTTTTGCTTCACATTATGCCAGACTTGAGAACAGAAACTCTGTAAAGACAGAATAGACCCATCTCCACATATATATTTATATATTTTATATCTATGCATACAATTATTTACATTTTTATTTTATTTATTTTATTATTTATTTATTTATTTTGAGATGGAGTCTTGCTCTGTCACCAGGCTGGAGTGCAGTGGCGCAATCTCAGCTCACAGCAACCTCTGCCTCCTGGGTTCAAGTGATTCTCCTGCCTCAGCCTCCCAAGTAGCTGGGACTACAGCCGTGAGCCACCATGCCCAGCTGATTTTTGTGATTTTAGTAGAGATGAGGTTTCACTATGTTGGCCAGGATGGTCTCGATCTCCTGACCTCGTGATCCACCTATCTCGGCCTCCCAAAGTGCTGGGATTAGACGTGTGATCCACTGCACCTGGCTTTATTTCATTACATATTTATATGTATAATATACATTTATATTTATATATTTATATACTTTTTTTTTCTCAAGGGTCTTGAGCTCTCCCAGATAATTTTGGTAGTCTAAGAGAACCCCATATTTTTCACTTTTCTCTTCTCCCTCATACTCAGAGTAGTTACCTTCTGCTAATACGGCAGGTGGTATCACATTCATACAAGTATTTATGCAAATGACTGTAGTCATGTGACTGGAATCATCTTTCTTAAACCCGTGCCACAGAAACACTAAACTTTCCTAAGGGCTTAGACTTTTAAAATGAAAAACTAGAGAGATATTAAGGCTATTTCTGTATTATTTCTTTTTCACTTTCTCCTCTCAAAGGCAAGGAAATCTGAAGATGATTGAATAGGAAGACAGAAAAAATTAAGATGTGTGTGTGTGTGTATATGTGTGCGCGCATATATATATATATATATGCAAACTTAGACAAGCATCTCAAAATAGTATCTTATCATGCCATATATTGTAATATTCCATATATGTTCTGGATTTTCTACTAACTCAAAACTCTATAAATGCAGAAATCACACATCTCCCTTGCCTTTATATTCCTAATGGTGTTGATGTCAGCGATATTGGAGATAAACATGAATTTGTCTATAATATAAATAGATAACTATTATAGGAAAACCTTCTCTATCTTCCTCATATGCATATACAACTCATTTTTCATGAGTTTCTGTTGCAAAATTGCTTATTCCTGGGTTCAGATAGAAAGTAGAAATCAAAATAAAGATAAAGAAGGTCATTACTCTCATTCCAAAATCTTCATAACAAAGATAAAAAAAAAACTAAGGGTTACATTTCAAAATAAAGCCTTATTCAGAGATCACATTTAGATCCAAATGAGAATTTTTAGGAAACAAACAATCAAAAGCAAAGTAGGCAGCTAGCTTAATATCACTTTGAAGGCTTTGGCTTGTTTTATTGGAGATCTAATCTTTTGGATGTGCTACTGGGCACAAACCAAAGCCAAACATATTTAACTAGCAAAGCTTTACAGTTATTTCAGAATTGCTCAATGGAATGTGTTATTGCAGTTACAAAGTGATGTTTTAAATCTGCTAAAATGAGTGAATTTTTCTTAGAAACCCTAAGTGTATTTAGAATAATAGAGGACGATATTTATTTGAAAAAGAAAATTACGTTGCTAGAGCTATTTAATTCGAACATCAGTTCACAGTTCACATGGATCAGTTAGTTTACGGTAATAACATACCTGAAAGATAAACTAATTAATTCATATTTTTAGTTGGATATATTCTGAGTTACCTCAACAGAAGGTTTACTGATTTCTCATTTTAAATACCAAATATATACTTTTAAGACTGATATGATGTGTTCAGTCATGGGTGATGAGCTTTCCCTTCATTTACTTAATAAATAGTTATTGGATACCTAGTGTTTTCTATGAACACTTTGGAATATGGTGTTGAACAAAATTAAAAGCATGACTGTGTTCACTTACAACATGTATATTGTTATTATTTAGCCTATTTCTCATGTGTTTTTTTTTAGTGTTGAAGATTTAAGAAAGCTAATTAAAATAAGTTGATACCAGTTGAGACATTTTTTGTCTCTTTTTGGCTTGCTCCCTCATTATAGTAAACCTCATGTTTATAATACATAGATTATGATACTGCAACTCAAAGGCAATAAAAGCACCTTATTTGTTTTTAAAAAATATGATTGGAACACAGTCATACCTCCTTCTTCCTGTATTGTCTATGGCAGCATTTGTGTTACAATTGTAGAGTTGAATAGTTATGACAGAGACGATATGGCCCATGAGCCTAAAATATTCACTAACTGAGTCTTTACAAAGTTTGCCAAACCCTGCTCTACAAAAATAATTAATTTTAAAAAATGCAAATCCATATGTTCCTGTGTAACAATTTTTTCTTACTGTAAGAAGACCAAGAAATGTATACTGTCACACATTTTTTAAAACAGGACAGGGAAAGACTGCAGGCTTGAAAGGAAGATGGGGTGGAAAGAGGGGTACTGCCAAGAGGCAGTTTCAGAAGGAAGAATCTTCAAGACAAAATCGCGGTGCAAATATAGGCAAGGGATGCACAGGAGAAGCGAGCAGGAGGGCGGCTTTATTCGTAGAGATTGGGAAGGAACAGTTTTATGAAAATACATTGAAACTTAGATCTACGTCTTTTTTTGTGGCCATTTTGCAAAGGTGAAATATACTCTCGCACACACCCAAAATCATCAGAACACAGAGACTGATGATACCACACATGAAAATGTTTTTTACTCACATAGTAAGGATTCAAGATAAAAGCAGGGCAGTCTCTAAAGTTGGTCTAAAATTGGCTTGAGGAGAGAAGGGAAAGGAGACTGGCTTGGGTTTTGTTGTGACTTTGATGTGGGGCTTGGGTAAGCCGTGGTTTGAACTTCCCTCCACCAGCGCCTAAGGATAGCGCACTGGGTATTCCAATTAGCTTGCTATGGAGTGGGGCAGAAGGGAAGGAGGAGTGGTGGGGCTTCAAAGTTGTCAGCAAACAGCAAAAGTGGAGTCATTTGATACTTTAGTGTTTTTAGGGAAATCTTACTAGAATATAAATATGGAAATTTAAGATTCAGTTTTGTTTAAATAATAGATATTTGGTCAAAGCTTTTAGCATCCAGTTCATACATGAGTAAAATGGTCACAATAACACTAGGTTTCCACACCTCATAAAAGAATTGTGAGGTTTTCAGAAGAAATATTTGTGAAAGAGCACTGACAAGTAAAAAGTACAGAGGAAAAAAGTGTGCTGTTATATATTAGTGTCTTATGTTGTGTGACTGAGGGCTTCTTGTTTTTAATATTCTTGTGTTTGAATGCAAAAAAACAGATTCTGGTTACTTGTAGGGTTTTTTGTTTTTGTCTTTTTGGAGATGAGGTCTTGCTCTGTCACCCAGGATGGAGCACAGAGGTGCAATCACAGCTCACTGCAGCCTTGACCTCCTGGGCTCAAGTGATCTCCCACCTCAGTCTCTGAGTTGCTGGGACCACAGGCGTGTGCCACCATGCCTGGCTAATTTTTGCATTTTTTTGTAGAGATAGGGTCTCGCCGTGTTGCCCAGGCTGCTCTCAAACTCTTGGGCTCAAGTGATATGCGCACTTGAGCCTCTCAAACTATTGGGATTACAGGCCTGAGCCACCGCACGTGGCCGATTCTGGTTATTTGAATGAACTTCTGTAGATGGATCTAAATATTTTTGAAAGTAATTGCAAGCTGCTTTTTGTTTAATTTTAGTACCATTTTTCTGTCAAAAAATGTTATTTTGAAATGACTTGTGTAGTCACATCACCAGAAAGAAAGGCCAGTGTCATAGCCTTCTATTTATATTTTGACATTGTTATATCATAAAAATCTTAAACAACAATAAAAGAAGTAAATAAACACTGTATCAGTTACACAATTAAAATAGACACTAAAAAATTCTTCACACAAACGCCCTGTTATTTGCAGGTGGATAGATGATAAATATCTTCTAATTCAAACATTTTATAGGCATTTCTTGACTTTAATATATGTCTGAAAACATGCTATCCAACAGCAGCCCACTTGACATTTACAAGCTGAGAAAGGTCATGCCTTGCTTATTGCTAGTGGTTATAAAAATGATAATAAGAGTGACTAGAAACTCTGAAAAACTATGTTAACCTCCAGGCTCACAAAAATGAAGCTTAAAAGATTCTCAACAGTAAATCACTACAGAGAATTTTCTAGCACATGTTAAAAATAAACAAAAAACAACAACAACATAAAACTACGTACCTGGATGTAAGAGCAAGATATACTAAATTTGAAACACTTAAAAAATTCTACAGAGGTCTTCTGTTTGTTTCTAGTTTGTTTCTAGATATTTACTCTATTTCATCTAATTTTAATTTTACATTACCATGTAATTAACTAATAGCAATGCTATTTCAAGGGACACGTTTTATATTTAATGTTACTGTTTAATTACATCAGTAGAAGCCAAACATGACAATGGTATGAACAGATTAATTATGCATTGTAATTGTCAATAAAATGAGTACTGCCACACTATATCATCTCAATAACAAAAATATTTTAAATACTCTATCTACTAAATTATCTAATTGAACTCACATATTAACT